>NC_000005.10:91927988-92231019 GCF_000001405.40 Homo sapiens
TTTTGCTCAACCTCTAACAGTTATTCCAATAATTTATTCCTTCTGAGGTAAAAACTTCTGTATTTTGGGAAGTCAGCTAAATTAAGTAACTATGTTTGTGTGTGACTGTGTGTGTAATTTCAATTATAAATTTACAGATTATATGACTTCTATGTGAATATAGATGAAGTTCCTCATATATCATTGTATTCAGCTCATATTGTTTAAATTTAACAAAATTTAACCCTGAATACTTGTTTTTGTAATTATACTTCAATCTGTGCACAGCATTTCTTGCCATAGAAAAATTATAGGCTTCTAGGTTGTGAGAGTGGATCATTGATTACAAGCAACAAGATGGAAAAATGAGTGGAAGTAATTAATTTTACAGATAATTGTGAAGTAATTTATTTCAACAAGCACTTTGTTTTCTTTAAAACTGCTATATAATGCAGCAGATTTAGTAATTTATTGCTTCATATTAATAACAACCACTATTTTCAATACAAACACTTCAGAAAATTGCCCTTATTGGAGAAAACAGACATTGCATTTTATTTCCCAATAGCTTTCTAAGTGACAATAGGAAAGACACACCATTACATACCATTTCCTAACGCTAAAAATCATAAAGCAAAAATGTTTTTTCTTTCAGGCCTACACGGAAAACATAAAACTTTCCTTTTAAAATAAGAATCTCATGACCAGTCCTTTAGTCTTCAAATGACCAGGTGTTTTATGACAAAGATTTCCAAAGGTTCTTAGTTTTCAAATTTCTATCAATTTCCTCTTAATATAAAACTCATGCTATCTTTGATTTTTTTCTCGCAGAAATCCCAAATACTTGGATATTCTCTTCTCTTTGAATATATTTCATAACTGTTGTTATGGTAAATCCAAATTTACTTTGCTTAATCTAGTTATCTATCCATAAAAGTCTTCCAAGTATTCAGTTCTAAAAACAGCCTTTTATTTTTCTTCTCCACTGACTCATATTTTAAGCAAATTGCCTATTACTCATGCTTTGAAGAGAATGTTTTTAGTTTGCTACTTTACTTTTTCCTTAGGGGAAAAGAAACATTTTTCATGTTCTAAATTCTTAATTTAAATTAAGACTTTTTGGGGGTGGGGTGGGGGACTTGTTTATATTGACCATTTCACTCCATGTGTTTCAGGGTTTCACAGAAAAGCCATAGCAACTAGGGGACTCTAGTATACATACTGCCACTTAGCCAATGGTTTAGAAATTTTCACAAGATTAGATTTAAAGGAAATATTAATATATTGAGTTTCATTAAATTTCTTCAACACAATGTGATACTGTCACATAAAATTTGAAACTTATGTAACTTTTAAAAAAAGTTACCCTTTTGTGAGTTTTTGGAGTTGTGCTTTTAGATAAAATTGAATAAAATCACACAAGGAGCAAACTTAATGCTATTGTAATGCCTCTAGAGGGCAGTATTAAATTATTTGAGATTATAACTTAGACTTTTTCTCAAGCAAGTCACTCAATATTTGAAGAGGTGACAATGAAAATGGAAGAGGGTAATGTTCTTTTTGTAATCTTATTCATGGATGCAAATGGCTGTGAAATCCAAGTCCTCACACTTGAATCAACAAGTGTTGTGGGAAGAGGATTTTTTTAATTGAGCTTCTTATCTGCTCTCCTGAGAAAGAGCTTATTTTCTCCCACTACTAAGGTCTCTGGACTTTTATTGGCACACTCAAACTACATGATGCTTAGAGAGTGAAAGCAAGTACCTGTTTTCCAATAAGGACTCTTTCCCTGCAGACCACTGTAAGAGCCACACTTTTGGTCGGATCACATTATGTTCACATTTGTGATTTGAATTGCGGATTTTGAAATATTCAAATATATTAATTGTTTCAATAATCTTCCAAATTGTATCAGCTGCAAGTATAATTTTTATCCTATGAGGACTCTTTTTCTCACTACATAGAGATGTAACATTTTTCAGATGGTTTCTTAGCTCTCCAATACAATAAAAAGAACACGTAAATATAGGGGATAATGAAATCCTTACTAACAGGTGTCAGTTAACTTTAGCCCTTTTCTCGCAGAAACCACGCTTCATCCCTGAAGTACGAGAGACTCCTGAGACAAGGGTGAATTATTTGCCCTGTTCAAATAGATAACTATAATTTACAGTTTTTCATTTCAGTTATTTTCTTTGTAGATGTATCTTTCCAAAGTTATAAAGTCAATTTGATTTTTCCTGAATAATCATGTTACACCCTGAGGTGATGAAAGAAGATTCGAGAACCCAGCTGCTTTCCTGTATTCAAAACTGGTTGAAAGCACGAAGGTTTATTCTTCTTCTTGTTTATATAAAAGGTAGGATCAGCGTGACTGCTTTACTCATTCTTTTGACATTCTCTTTGGGAGTGTAGAATATATTTTCTTTTATACAATATGCTTCCAAACTGAATACAGAATCTGAAGGATGGTTTTACATTTCTTCCAATAATTTTTGTGAAAGAAATATTAAATATGCCCTTTAAATTTGTAGCAGCCATGCTTAATTTAAAACTAAGTACATAGGAATTGTTGATTTTGGAAAAAAAACTTATTTGTTAAGATAGCTTATATACTTTATCTTCTTAGTACTCTATTTGTACAATATTGTAAATATTTTATGAAACCTTACAGTATCTATGTGAGAGGTATAAAGCATTATTCCTGCTTTTAAATGGAAAACATTGAATTCTAGAGTCGAAAGTGACTTCTGTAAGGTTACATATAGATCAACATTGGCATGCATAAGAAAAAAGTTTTCTAATTTCTGTTGAAAACGTCTTATTTGAAATAAATCCTTTCTGCATCAGAAAACAGCCATCCTCTAAAAGTAAAGGAAAAAAAGCTATTTGTTTCCAACTTTCTCTTAACACCTGGAGTCTCCTCAGAAGGCAGATCTCCACTCCTCGAGTGCTACACCCTTGTCTGCCCCTCTTGCCAGCCAGTGGTACAGAATATACCAAACTGCAGATATTTCTGCTGTAAATGCACTGATAGTTTTGCTTCAGAGTGCAGCCACTGTGGACATAAGAGAATGATCGGTCAATAAACTCAGGGGTCTTCTGATATTTTTAATACACTTGGATACAATTGGCATTAGCATTCCAGGAAAGTCCCTGATTTGGAACGTATCACTAATATCTCCCACTGGCCCCTGTGGCATAAGGGATACCGTGATGTACGTTGTTTCAAACATTGGACATTCACACCTGGTGGGAGTACCCTGGATTTATCAGTGGTTCTGCTCCTCGCATACGCCTGTACATACACTAGTTTGTGAAACTCTTGGAGGCCGCATGGCTTGTGATACACGTGGAGGTCCAGCAAACTCAAAGAACTCCGTTCTCCAAACTCAAAGAACTCCATACAATCACTGTAACCATTTACTGGCCAATCTCTTAACCTGTTTTTCAACCCCTAGATTCTCTCTTTCTACCCTAATACATCCCACCTTCTGCCTCTGCTGTTCAAAATGTGTCCAGACGCAGCATCCCAAGCCCCCTATAATCTCATCCCTTCTACTTAATATTCAGGTAAATATCCGTTTCTCATGCAATATCTACCATCAAAACAAATCGAGTCATGGGTATGCCAAAAACTTCCAACACTCTTTGTTCAACCCAACCCTTGCTTCAGAGTTCTAGACTTGAATATATCCAGTAGTCCCTTTGCATCAGTATTTAGATGCGCCATAGAAAAACTGACCTCATCCGGAATGTAATTCATCATCTCCATACACAAACCTATTTTTCTTCCTGTGCTTCCAATCACAGTGAAGAGCATCACAATTCAGCAGTTGCCCAAACCTGGAACTGCTGCTTTCTTCATCCGTAACTTCTGATTATTCCTGAAATCCTAAATATCTCTTGAATCCTTTCACTTTTCTCATCTTTCTGAGTCTGGCTCACCATCATCTCTTGAAATGACTCAGAAACAGAAAGCCACAAACTGCACGTTCTCACTTACAAATAGGAGCTAAGCAATGGGTACACATGGACATACAGTGTGTAATCATAGACCCTGGAGACACCAACAGGTGGGAGGGTGGCAAGGGGGTGAGGAATGAACTACTACCTGTTGGGCACAATGTAGATGATTTAGTGTATACTGCTTAGGGTACACTAAAAGCCCAGACTTCACCACTGCATAATATCCATGTAATACAGCTGCACTTGTACCCCCTCAATCTATTTTAAAAAATTAGAAAAATAAAAATAAATAAATAATAAAATACTACAGCATTTCTCATAATGGAATCAAAATAACTAAAACAAAATTTCTTCACTTGAAACTCAAATGATTCATTTTTCTTTCAGGGTGAAGTCCATATCAATTATATGGTTTTCAAGATCCTGCATTATCTATGGTTTATTCAACCAACCACAATCTTGGCTTTCCTAAGATTGGCACCAATCATGAAAAAAATCCATTTTTCCCTACAGGAAAACAATTCTTACCTCGATTTCTAAATGTGAGGGAATTCATGGCTCTGAATTGTGGTAATCAAGTATTCTCAATTTGTTACAGACAGTTGCCTTATCTTATATTAATATTTCCAAATATTCATTCAGACACTTCTCCATGTGGATCACTTCTCTCAAGCACATACTATTCTAAACAGCCAACTTGCTGTTTAACTCTTCCTCAAGCATCAGGCTTTAGCTTAGGTACAAATTTTTATAGGATGCCTACCCTACAAGGTAGGTATGTGGGGTCCTACCTGCGTGTGCACATAGCATCCTGCATTTCCTCCATCGAATGGTTATTATATCTTGATTTCCTATTCACTTAATTGTATTGTCTACTAGACTCTTAGCTCCATGAGGGCAGGGGCTCTTTCTCTCTTGTTCACACATCTGTACTCAGTTCTGGATAGTGCTTAGAACCATTAGATGCTCAATTAACATTAGTTAAGTGAATTAATGTAGCAAATATATGTTAGAGTTCTAAGCCTTATGTCATATTGTTCCTTTTTTGGGAAAGCCCACATTTTTGTTTATATTTTTGTATTAAATATTATTTATTTACAAATAATCTCAAATATACAGAAAAGTTGAAAGAACAGTGTAAAGAATTTCTTTTCCTGAACTATTTGAGACTACATTGCCAAATTGTTGCCTCATGATCCCTTAATCTCTTTGGGCTGCTGTAACAAAATACCTTAGACTGAGAAATTTACAAACACAGAAATTAATTGCTCAAAATTCTGAAGCCTGGGAAGTTCCAGATTAGGTGCAGCTCTTTCAGTGTCTGGTGAGGGTCCATTCCTCATAGAAAGTGCCTTCTATGCGTCCTCCTATGGTGGAAGGGCAAGGAGACTCCTCCTCCAAGTTTCTTTTAGAAGGGCATTAATTCCATTCCTGAGGGCTTCACTCTCATGACCTAATCATCTTTTAAATGATGATTTTAACCCTGCCTCTTAATATCATCCCAGGGTGGCTTAGGTTTCAGTAAATGAATTCACAGGGTGGGGAGGGGACACAAAAATATTCAGACCATAGTAACTCATAATACTTTTAACATGTGTTTTCTAAATGTTTTCTAAAACACATGGACATTCGCCTATATAACCAACATGGAACCACTGAAATTAGAAAATACAAGATAAGTGACTACTAATTTTCAGACCCTTTTCAATTCTTGTCAAATGTACCAATACATCCTGATCCATACATGGAAATGGCAGGTCTGTTGGATGGAAGAAATGAATTAACCAATCCCTGAGCTACCTTAACTCATGACTTTTTCTAACATACATAATACATTTTTATATTGTTAGAGCCATTTTGAATTGACTTTTTAAATATTTGCAAATAAAGGCAATCTCATTGTTAAATAATATTTAAACAGTTGTATGTTGTTATTTTATGCATTTTGGTCGTGTATCTCCATTTAAAATTTTAAATCCTGAAACATATGGACCATAATTAAGAATCATTTTCCAGCCGGGCGCGGTGGCTCATGCCTGTAATCCCAGCACTTTGGGAGGCCGAGGCGGGCGGATCACGAGGTCAGGAGATTGAGACCATCCTGGCTAACACGGAGAAACCTCGTCTCTACTAAAAAAAAAATACAAAAAATTAGCTGGGTGTGGTGGCAGGTGCCTGTAGTCCCAGCTACTCGGGAGGCCGAGGCCGGAGAATGGCGTGAACCCGGGAGGCCGAGCTTGCTGTGAGCTGAGATTGCACCACTGCACTCCAGCCTGGGCGACAGAGTGAGACTCCGTCTCAAAAAAAAAAATAAAAAAGAATTATTTTCCATATTTCCCAGCATCAAGCACAGTGTTTGCTGCATAATAAATATTTGATAGATATTCGTTCATTAATTATATTCTCCTTTAAACCTCATTACATTGTTCATTTTTTTCTGTTAAATTTGAAAGGTAAATATTTTATATACTTCCATGACCATGAAAGAATCATCTAGAAATAAGACTATCAGAGCACACCATTTTAAGAGCAGAAATGTTTTTGTTAAAGAAATGTATTGCAAGTTTTCTTTTCTCTTACTTTAGTATAAGAGTATAAAATGTCAGATTTGAAAAGGATCTTATAGATGATCTAGCCAAATTCCATTTTAAAGAATTATATTCCATGGCTCAGGAAGAATTTATGGTTTTAGTAATTTTTTCACCAATCTATAGTTAGCCCTTCAAAGTTGTCCTATATACAGTAGTCCAAAGTATTTGAAAACCCACAGCCTTGACTACTACATCATGCTCTTCTGAATGATCTTTTTGATCAAGTACAAACTGTTACTTGAAAAACATCTACACCTATTTAACATTTTGACTCAAATTTCTTCTTTGCTCCCAATAGTATGCTAACATACTTTATGTTATAATGAATTATTTAGCAAAATATATTATCTTTTTCCTTGTGTCGTCATGCTTCTCCTATCAAGCAATCTATTGTCTATAAAATATGAGATAAAATATTATAGTTATTAAGAGCATGGGCTCTGGAACCACACTGACTGGGTTAGAACACTCATTTCTCCATTTCCTCCTTGTGGGAACCTGAAAAATTTAAATTAATCTCTCAGGGCCCTTGTTTTCACATATACAAAACCAGAAGAAAAGTAGTACTGGCCTTCCAGGATGGTTGTAAGGACTAAACTACTTAATACATGTACAGCTCAAGGAAGATGATGAGCTCTTAATGAGTTAATCTTTTATATTATGGTGATTGCTACAGATCATCTATTTATAAAAACAAAAGCACATTATTAAAATACTATGTTTAAAGAAAGTTGTCCATGATTATTTCAGAACTATATCTGCATCTGTGTTCTCCTACACTGTGTTCTATTCTAATAGATGAGCACTCACTTCATTTTATATGTTTGTCATTTATGGAATTATTTGTAATTTCTTAAGATATTATTTAATAAAATGTATCCTTTTTTGTATTGTCTCAGTATATTTTTAACTTATTTAGTGGCAAGCTGCTTTTGAGTTATGAAAATAAAAATCAATAGTAAAATACTATATATCTTTATACAGGCATACTTCAAAGATTTTGTGGGTTCAATTCCAGGACACCACAATGAAGCAAATACCATAAAAAAACAAGTCACACAATTTTTTTGTTTTCCTGGTGCATACAAGAGTTGTTTAACTATACTGATCTCCATTAAGTGTGCAACAGCATTATGTCTAAAACTGTACATATCTTAATTTTAAATACTTTATTGCTAATAAATGCTAACAATCATCTGAGCCTTCTGAGAGTTGTAACCTTTTTGCTGGCAGAGGGTCTTGCCTCCATGTTATTGGCTGCTGGCTGATCAGGCGGTAGTTGCCAAAGATTTAGGTGGCTGTGGCAGTTTTTTAAGACAACAATGAAGTTTGTTGCATCTATTTATTATTTTTCTTTTCAGGAATAAGTTCTCAGTGACATGCAATGCTGTCTGATAGCATTTTACCCATAGTAGAGCTTCTTGCAAAATTGGATTCAGTCCTCTCAAACCCTGCCACTGTTTTATCACCAAAGTATATGTACAATTCTAAATCCTTTGTGGTCATCTCAGCAATGTTCAGTGTCTTCACCAGGAGTAGACTCCATCTCAAGAAACCACTTTCTTTGTTCATTCATAATAAGCAACAAATCTGTTTTGTTTTTTTTATCATAGAGACTGTGGTAATTTATATTTTCAGTTTTAGTTCTAATTCTAGTTCTCTTGTTCTGTCCACCCCATCTGCAATTACTTCCTCTGAAGTCTTGAACCCCTCAAAGTCATCCATTAGTGTTGGAGTAAACTTTCCAAATTCCTGTAAATGTTGATAGTTTGACCTCCTCCCATGAATCCCAAATGTTCTTAATGGCATCTAAAATGGTGAATCTTTTCCAGATTTTTAATTCACTTTGCCCATATCCATGAGAGAAATCAGTATCTATGGCAGCTATGGCCCTACAAAATGTATTTCTTAAATAATAAGACTTGAAAATCAAAATTACTCCTTGATACAAATGATCAAGAGCTGCAGAATGGATGTTGGGTTAGCAGGCATGAAAACAACATTAATCTTCTGTGCATCTCCATCAGAGCTTTGGGGTGACCAGGTGAATTGTCAATGAGCAATAATATTTTGAAAGGGTTCTTTTTCTGAGCCTCAGGTCTCAACAGAGGGCTTAAAATATTTAGTAAACCATGTTGTAAACAGATATGATGCCATCTGGGGTTTGTTCTTTCATTTGTAGAGCACAGGCAGAGTAGATTTAATGTAGTTCTTCAGCTTAAAGTCACCAGCTGCATTAGCCCTTAACAAGAGAGTCAGACTGTTCTTTGAAGCTCTGAAGCTAGGCATGGACTTTTCCTCTCTAGCTATGAAATTCCTAGATGACATTGTCTACCAATAGAAACCTCTTTCATCTACATTGAAAATATGTTTGGTGCAGTCACCTTCATTAAATATCTTAACTAGATCATCCGGTTAACTTGCTACAGCTTCTACAGCAGCACTTGCTGCTTCACTTTGTATGTTCTTTTATGAGCCAACTTCTGCTAGCTTCCAACTTTTCTTCTTCAGCTTCCTCACCTTTCTGAGCTTACACAGAATTTAAAGAATTTAGGGTCTTGTTCTGGATTAGGCTTTGGCTTAAGGGAATGTTGAGGCTGGTTTGATCTTCAGTCCAGACCACTCAAACTTTCTCCACATCAGCAATGAGGCTGGTTTGTTTCCTTATCATTTGTATGTTTACCAGAGAACTACTTTTAATTTTCTTCAAGAACTTTTCCTTTGTATTCACAACTTGGCTAACTGTATGGTGCAAGAGGCCTAGCTTTCAGTCTCTTTTGGCTTTCCACATGTCTTACTCACTAAGCTTAATCATTTCTAGTTTTTTATTCCAAGTGAGAGGCACATGACTCTTCCTTTCAGTTGTACACTTAGAGGCCTAATTGTAATATTGTTTTGTCTCAGGGGATAGGGAGGTCTGATGAGAGGGAGAGAGATGAGGGAAAGCCTGGTGGGTAGAGCAGTCAGAACACACAGAACATTTATTAAGTTCACTGTCTTATATGGACATGGTTTGTAGCAGCCCAGCACAGTTATAATAGTAACATCAAAGATCAATGATCATAGATCACCAAAACAGATATAAGTATAATTAAAAACTTTGAAATAGCATGGAAATTACCAAGCTGTGACGCAAATACATGAAATGAGCACATGCTGTTGGAAAAATGGTGCCAACAGACTTACTCAATGCAGGGTTGCCACAAACCTTCAATCTGTAAAAACTGTAATACCTGGAAAACACAATAAAGTGAAGTGTGATAAAATGAGGTTATGTCTGTAATTTAAAACTGTTTAATGAACTTCATGATAAAGTACTATATAGATTTCTAGAAAAAGTTATACAGATGCTATATACTAATTGATATAAGACTAAAAGGAATCTATTTTTTGTTACTGATTTTCTTAATAAAAAGTTTAATTTTTCAACTGGTTCAAGTGTGCAGCTGCTTCTTGATACCTCAGGTATCTCTCAGACTAGGGATAGATAATTAAGAGGCATTAATACAGAATGAATAGTAGGGCAAAGAACTGTTCATGGAAACAACGTGAAAATAAAGAAGAAAATTATAGCTTTGGAGAGATCAAAATAGATAATGGTAAAGTCAGTATAATGTTTTACGGTTTACAATGTGCTTTCATATACACTATTATTGTTAACATGTTTCAAGGAAGAATTTTTAAATTTCTCAATCCCTACCCTTTTGAACCATTGAAAGGATGTATTTGTTTATTATCTGATATTTAATTTTTATTTCTCCTTACTTCAAATATATACTTTTACGTGCATTCAAAATAATTTTGTGTTATCTTTCATCTTATGTAATTCTGAATAACTCTGCAAGAAATTCTCATCTATATACTTTCCTTATAGAAGTTCCATATTCCTTGTGATGAGACATTTGGGTACATAAAGAAGAGTTGCTATAGCTAGGAGCTGCTAAGAAGCATGTTAAATCCCTGCTGAGCTTACTTCAGTTAGCTAAGGGATGGGTGGTGGGGTTAAGAAAAAAAGAATAGGAGGAGGAAGAGCATATATTTCTTGCTCACATTTTCATCCACTTGGCAACTCAATCCTTTTGTGTTAACAAGCTCTTTGGGGAATATAAGTAACCACCAGGAAGGCCAGAACTGTGGATGATTCATTTTTTATCTTTTGTCTAAATCATATCAACAGCTAGAATTGACTAGGGATTATACTACTGTATGAGAAGATGGGAAAAGAACTGGTATATAGGAAAAATAGAGAAAAAAAGGAAAAGAGAACTGTCAAATGTTGCCAGGCTGGTTAGGCACTTAAAACTAGGAGTACTATCAGCTTACAGTTTCTTTGATAACTCCTCCTTTGTTTCTCTTTCACTGTTGGTAATGTTACTGGACAGTGGTCCCCATCCAGACCCCAGGAAAGGGTTCTTGGATCCAGCACAAGAAAGATTTCAGGGCAAGTCTGCAGTGCAAAATGAAAGCAAATTTATTAAGAAAGAAAAGGAATAAAAGAATGGCTACTCCATATTCAGAGCAGCCCCGAGGGCTGCTGGTTGCCTATTTTTATGGTTATTTCTTGATGTTATGCTAAACAAGGGGTGGATTATTCATGCCTCCCCTTTTTAGAGGGTAACTTCCTGATGTTGCCATGGCATTTTTAAACCGTCATGGCGCTGGTAGGAGTGTAGCAGTCAGGACGACCAGAGGTCACTCTCATGGCCATTTTGGTTTTGGTGGGTTTTGGCCTGCTCCCTTACTGTAAACTGTTTTATCAGCAAGGTCTTTATGACCTGCATTTTGTGTTGACCTCTTATCTCATCTGTGACTTAGAATGAATTAACCATCTGGGAATGCAGCCCAGTAGGTTTCAGCCTAATTTTATCCAGCTCCCATTTAAGATGGAGTTGCTCTGGTTCACATGCCTCTGACAGAAGCAAAGGATTTCCTTTATTCTTGGGCTTTCTATAAGATACTTATGATAGATGTGGAGATTCTCTTTTATTTATTCAGTATCAAGCTTCCACTAGGGATAAACATTGGGGAAAGGGTGCTACTCAGAGTGGTTAGGAAGTGGGTACCACCTATTTCCCAACTTTCTCTTTCTTTAAACTGAACTCAGATTGAATCCTAATAGGTGTATATTGCAGAGTGACCAAAAAGAAAAATAAAAGGGCAAGATTTGTGTTATGACCTAATTCATGCTCTTGTACCAAAAAGGAGCAGGGCTAATAGCTTTAGGCCTTCTCTACGTAATGCCTCTCTTCCAGATCTTAATCAGTGCTTCTAAAATTTCCCTGCCCTGCCTCTCCACACACCACAAGTGTACATGGGTGCACACACACACACACACACACACACCCCATTCTCTTCTAAGACCATCTCTAACCTCTAATATTTGATTCATTAGGATCTTTCTGTGTCCAAAATATACCAGTATTTCTTGTGTTCTCCACTTTTCCTAGGCTTCAGTCTCAGGCTTTTCCTCTCCTTTTTTATGAACTTGGATTCTGTCAGGGGTAAGATACAATGTGAGTAGTATAGAGAGCCCTGGAAAATTTCTGCAAGAGTAACTTGAAAGCAGGAACACTTACCATAAGACTCAACATAGCCTGGTCTCATGAAGAAGGCACATCCCTTTCATTAATGTGACTTTGACCCTACTCCTTGAAAAAATCCATTACTTCACAATAGAGTATGTATTTTACTAATTTCTAAGCCAGTTTATACAAATAGGCTGCTGTATAAGCTGAGAAGAACTTTGTGTCACTCGATTTACAGTGCAATCTGACTCTCTTTGTCTCCCAAGCAGAATGGATCACTTTGAATTCATCCCATTATACAAGGTGGGGAGCAGACACTCCAGCTTTCTTAAATAACACCTTGAAGACCAATTTAGTGTCTTCAACTGAAGTTTTCTGTGATAAGTTGAGAGATTTTGTATCATGCATAAGAATGACAGGAACTTACTAAGTGTTCAAAAGTATTTACTGAGTTTAATAGAAATAAGATTGGCAATTCTTACCTATATTAAATTTCTTCACTATTTGTCATATGAGGCTACTCATCCATGCAGCAAGTAATTATTGAAGGCCTACTGTGTGCCAAGTACTGTTTCATAATACTGTTTTTCAGTGTCCACTCCCTGTCATGTGTCTGCAAGATTTACACACAAAGCATGACTTTAGTAATGGCTCTCATCATATATAATAATTTTCAAAAGGACCCAAGAGCGGAATGTTCTAACAAAGAATATGGGAATAGCTGGTGGCAGGGAGCCCTGTGTAGAATGAAAAGCTCCTGACCTCATTCTCACATACCACTCTGATATCTCAGACACTTTAGATCCTCTACCCTACCTTCTTAGATATCAAAAGCCAGGAGCAAAACAAGGCCAACTAACAAACTTGAATTCAGCTAACATATAGTATAGTGTATTTTGTAATTGACAGTAATTTTTATAATCACAAGGTTTCAACTTCCTTTTAATATAATGTTAAGTTTAAAAAAGTTTTTGTGAGGTACTTTTCCGTAATACAAAAATTATATTATGCCTAGATAGAAACTTTAAAATGAAAAGAAAAAGAGTTAATCTAATCTTCTTTTCTACCTTTTTTAGTATTATGTTTTCTAAAAGGTTTTACTGTCAGTTTATCTTATGTTAAGATACTCAAATTATTTCTCCAAGTAAATTGGTGGGACTTTTGAGAAGCAGATACCACACACACACACACTGAAGTTACATCTCTTCTGAGTGTTTAGGAACTAGGATAGGTTGATTTGCTTTATAGATGTTTGTTTTTTTTAGCAAAACTTTAGTAGAAAATGATTATATCATTAAAATTCTCTCATGATAATAGATTCATAAAAGATATTACTAGATCCAGAAATTATAGACCTTTATTCTGAGATAAGATTGTGTTTTTACTCATAATTGAGAAAATTGTACATTTAAATATTAAGAATTAGTGTGGGAATCAATATAAAATGAAAAGAAAAAGGAAGAGAAATGTATAGCAAGCCATCATTTAAAAATAAAAAAAATATTTTTGTGGCATGAAAAAGATGGCATTAACACACCTCTCAACATAATTAAATTCTAGACAGGCTTCTTCCTCACTCAGATCTCCATTTTCTTAAAGTATTTACTTAAGAAAACTTATCACTGTAAATTCTTTCTCTGTTTATTTGAGATGTAAATCTTTTAGAAAGCCTCTTGCCAGTTTTATAGCCTAGGAATGTCTCTCTCAATGACTTGGGAGCCATCCCTTCGAATGTACTCAGCAAGGAAGATAGCATCCCTATCCCTCCAGTTTCTCCAGCAGGATGGGAGCCTAATTTCAGTGGGCATTTTGCTCTGAGTTGTAAAACTACTTCCTGCCTGAATATATGAGAAAGTTTACTTTTCCTCTGGGTAAGGCCAGTAATCACACATAGGTAGCCTATGCTCCCCTCCCACTCCCTACTCTAGCTGTTAAAGTCTTGAAAACTTCAGCTCTTTGTTTCAATGGCATCAACGTCAGGCTGAGTTCTGGTCTCTCTCCTGTATTCCGCTAGTCTAGAATAAAGTCTGCCTTGCCTGTTTAACTTTGTCTAGTGCAATTTTTGTTTTCACAAGCATTATGGCATATGATTGGTTATTCTATACCTGAAGTAAGTGGTTCAGAAATACATACATTACTGAATAAAATATTAGTATTTTGTTTCTTAAATAGTATTAGTGGGTCAGCCACCACAAATTCTACAGAAATTATATTTTATGTAATGTGTTCAAATTAAAACTCTTCTGTATCTGAATTTATCATAAATGTATCTGTTTTATATGGGGGTATATAGCCTTGTATTTGTTCCTAAATATGTGATACATTTGTTTGTCTATGGAAGAAAACACAAAAGGCATCTCTTATTCACTTAACAAATCAGTCAATAAACCCAGAGATGCTGTATTTGAACTTTAAATTTCTCATGCAGAGAATCCAATAAATTCTTCCACAGATTCCCTTTGGCATCTGAGTACATTTCTAGTGCCCTTTAAATTTTTATGGCCATTTCTCTTCCTGTTTTACCCTAGAGACAATGTTTCACTACGTTCACAATATTTCCATGTCTTTACTTGCTAACTCCCCCTCCCCCAATTCTGAATTAACGCATAGCTGCTAGACTTTGCTAGTTTCCCCCCAGAATATCTCTTTCTGGCCCTTTCACTCTCTCTCTCTCTCAACACTCTATTGTTGCCCTTAATGCACAAGTAATAAGAGATTCCTAGTATTCCCAAGGATTAACCCAAAATGTCCAATGCGCACACGCACACACATACACACGTATATATAATTGTATTTATTTATGTTCATGTTTATATTTATAGAGGCATTCAATTTTTCACAGGATCATGTAAGAAAACAATAACAAAAAGAGACCTTTATGTTAGAACATATATTGATTTACAAGAAAGGCTTAAAGATAGAGTTCATTATGTCAGAAGCTTATATATCATGAATTTGTTTTTATAAATTTAATGAATAAGAAAAACATTAGACATGTTTGATTAGTTTTAAGTCTTTAAAAACTACGTGATGTAAATATTCTTTAAAAAATATCAAGGTCAAGTAACAACAAGGAATGGAAAAATTGTATTCAGTTGAACATATTTGTTTGATAATTCAGAACTTTAATGTAAAGTGAACATTGCTCCAATAAGTTCATATCTTTGTGTACTATATCATTACATAAAATATTAAACAAAATATAGAAGAAATCACTTTTAAAGTATAAAATACAGAAGCTGGTCCAAGTTATATAAATTGGTTTGGCTGAGTTCACTTTATTAGTTCTTTAGTTTTAATGATGATTGTGGATCACCCATTATTGATTCTGCCCGAGTGGTGAGTAGTGATGTTGAAGAATAACAAGGTGATTGCATTGACAAGTTGTCACTTACTGTGTTGCCCTCATATCAATGGGATGCTGATGTAGTATTAATGATTTGTGCAGAGAATCCCTGAATCCTCAGTTCTAGCAATATTAACTGAAGTAAATAAAGTATTGGTAATATACAAAACCTCTTTTCTACTGTAAGTTAGCAGCTTCTTTAGCTTTTGTAAAAATTAAGCTACATTATTTATGAATTGGTTTTAATTTCAATTGATGAGATTGCTAGTAATATACTCCTTTTACCTGTCATGAGACACGTCCTGATGAATGCAGATGATCGTTGATAGGTAGCACCTCCAATGTGCAAAATTTTACTGTGAAATTATGTGAATTTGAATGTTACTTCTGTTTATGTTGGATTAAATTCATATTTCTAAATTCAGCAGCCTCTTCTCTCTCTCTCTTGGTTCATTTTCAACTGTCAAAAGTCACAGCTTTCCCCAAAGCATTATAAATAACATAAAACAAATGTAAACGAATGAGAAATAAGAATGACAAATTCCCAAGTTTTTCGAGGGGCAGGAGAGGAGGTGTATGAAAAATACATTCTTTATGAAATCCATGACTAAATTCTGTATCATTTTCATAGGTTCAGGAAATTATAAAACATCAAGAAATCTTACAGATTTTCTTTTATTCTTAGGTCATCACTGATATTTCTCTCTCTTAAATAATAAAAAGTGTGCCCCACCCAATTTTTATCCTCTGCATCACAAAAAATATATGGCAATTATAGGTAGAGTATTAGTAATCTACGAATTTTTTTCTTTTTATTCATGTCAAAATATATTTGCTGCATTATAAGGATTTAGAAACAAATTTCCACCCACAGAAAAAATTAACACTAATAAAAGAAACTATCATCAGACTGAACAGGCAACCTACAGAATGAGAGAAAATTTTTGCAGTCTATCCATCTGAAAAAGGGTTAATATCCAGAATTTACAAGGAATTTAAACAAATTTACAAGAAAAAAACAAACAACCCCATCAAAAAGTGGGTGAAGGATATGAACACTTCTCAAAAGAAGACATTTGTGCGGCCAAGGAACATATGAAGAAAGGCTCATCATCACTGGTCATTAGAGAAATACAAATCAAAACCACAATGAGATGCCATCTTATGCCAGTTAGAATGGTGATCATTAAAAAGTCAGGAAACAACAGATGCTGGAGAGGATGTGGAGAAATAGGAATGCTTTTACACTGTTAGTGGGAGTGTAAATTAGTTTAACCATTGTGGAAGACAGTGGTGAGTCCTCAAGGATCTAGAAACAGAAATACCATTTGACCCAGCAATCCTATTACTGGGTATGTACCCAAAGGATTAAAAATCATTCTACTATAAAGACACATACACACGTATGTTTATTGCAGCACTGTTCACAATAGCAAAGACTTGGAACCAACCCAAATGCTCATCAATGATAGACTGGATAAAGAAAATATGGCACATAAACACCATTGAATACTATGCAGCCATAAAAAAAGATGAGTTCATGTTCTTTGCAGGGACATGGAGGAAGCTGGAAACCATCATTCTCAGCAAACTAACACAGGAACAGAAAACCAAACACTGCATGTTCTCACTCATAGTGGGAGTTCAACAATGAGAACACATAGACACAGGGAAGGGAACATCACACACCAGGGCCTGTCAGAGGGTGGGGGGCTAGGGGAGGGATAGCATTAGGAGAAGTACCTAATGTAGATGACGGGTTGATGGGTGCAGCAAACCACCGTGGGACATGTATCCCTATGTAACAAACCTGCACGTTCTGTACCTATATCCCAGAACTTAAAGTATAATAATAAAAAAAGGAAAAAAAAAGAAATGTGATCGAATACACTGAATTAATTTTTTTGATAATCATGCAGGAATATTTGCTCTTGAATCATATATGAAGTATATCTTTGACAACACAGGCCACCAAAATTTAATTAGTGACTGAAGAGTGTTGAATAAATATGTTTGTTCTACAAACGGAAAACAATTTTTTATGTCTAAAGCTTTAATGGAATTGTCACGAAATATAATTCATTTTTTTTCAAACATTCTTCACACTAAAATTTAAACCTCTTATGTTTCCTTTAGGATGTTCTTGACAAGAATTAGGACATGTAAGCATTAGAATTATTAAGATCTACTATTCCCATACATTAAAATACACCAAAGAATGCATAATGTTTATGCCAATTGATGTAGCTGAGGTATAATTTTTATTGTTTTTAAGCTAAACTAAAACTATGCTTTAGCAAGTGCAATTGAAATTAAAAAGTGATGTGTAATTAGAGGCCATTTTTAAGACTTTTGTTAATATTTAATGTCTACAATTACTGATATTTTGTTATATCATCATCTACATTTCAAAACTCACCAAGTACCGTTAAAAGTCTCTATGGCTGCATAACAAACCACCCTAAACTCAGTGGCTTAAAACAAACAGTATCTTATTTGCTCCCAGTTGTGTTCCACAGTGTCAAGATCTTTAATTGGGATTTCAGGAAAGATTAAGGCATAGTTGGGACAGCTTGAATGGGGCAATATGTGTGGGTCATTGGCTATAAATATTGATTTAATTTCTAGGGTCTCCTCCATGTAGCTACTCTATGCATCCAGCTTCGGCTAACTCAAAAGGTGGTGGTTTCTAGGTTCCAAGAACAAATCTTCTAAGGAGCAAATCTTCAGTGTGCAAATGTTTTAACAAGCCTCTGTTTGCCTCATTCTTACTAATGTCCCATTGGTCAAAGCAAGTCACACGACCAAACCCAGAGTCAGTGTGAGAAGAGACCACAGAAGGATGTGAATATCTAGAGGTCTAAGTCATCTGGCACCACTGAAGTAAGAGTCTACTACAGAATTGTTGTTGGGGATGTAGAATTCCTACCTACTAGGGATCAAATTTGAATGTAGGCTTTCTAGTTTAATTTCTTATTTTTATTGTATTTTTTTCCCATTTATAATGTGAAAATCAGAGAAAAACATGAGAAGCTAAATTTATACTAAAAAGATGGTGGTGAATCTTAACAAAATCTTCTCAGTAGTTTTAAATTAACAATTGGAAAGGAAAATAAAATAGAATTGTGGACTGAGGTTTGGAGTTATAGATATAATCAATATTTCTTCAGAAACAAACCTAAAGCCAGCACATTAGACTAAGCTATCAATATGAAAATACCAATGACATCTTACACGTTTTAAAGTAGTAATAATGAGTACTATACCATTTTCATCAATCTTTTTGCACTCTCTAGAAACTTTTAGAGTTCTTCTCTGCAGTTTAAAGGAGATGTTCGTAATCAGTTTTTCATTTTTTACATAATAAGCACACTGGGTAACTTTTAAAAAATCTCTACTATATCTGTGCCTTCCACCAAATACTTGATGTTTTTGTGTTTTTATAACTTAAATTTGTTGATTCACAACTCCCACTTCTGAAACTGGACTATGACACAGAGTGACTTGGATGTTTAAGCTACAGAATGGCTCGTATCACTTTATGTGCCCTCCTCAACATCACCGAGTAGGTATTTCACAGACTGCCTCCTTTGTAGCCTGGGTTTCATATTTTTTGCAATTGCACACAAATAACTTCCTGTCAAAGCATTTGCCATCAATCCATTTCCTTTCTCATCTGAATGTGGTTTTCTGATTTGAATCGTTTTTCCTTTTCTCTCTTTATCTTTTCAAAGATTCTATTGTAAGAATCTCTATTTCAAGACAACCCACTTTAACTTCCTTTTGAGGTTCCCAACACCCAGTTTCCGTTTTCAAAATGATCTTCAATAGAAGTGAGTGGAACTGATATTCTAGTAGTTGCAAAAAATATATAGAAATAGATTTGCATATATTTGAAATTCATATAATAAGAACTAAAATTGGAGAGGGATTACTTTATATGTAAAAATACTTTTTGGATTGTAAAGTGCTATACAAATTTAAGGTGTTATGAATAATAATAGCAATGTTGATGGTGATCATGAAATCAGTAGCCTTTACTAAAGGGTATTTCAGCCATGAAGAGTTGTTCAGTTAATTTAATATTCATCAAAGAATAACTTCCAAATCATTGAACTGTCCAGATTATAATAGCAGCTATTTTAGGAATATGTTTTACATAAGTTCATTTACATATTAGAGTCTTCTTAAAAGTTCACTTTCAATGCCAATCCATGTAAGATGCAAGTTAGTAACTTGGAATCCCTATTTTCAGGTGGAATAATTAGAAGATAATTTTATAATTGACTAAGTCTGATATTTTTATAGATTGTTTACAAGTCTGTAAATGTTGGGTTTATTTTAAAATATTCTACAACGAAATACGGAGATAATATGTGTGCTATTTTGCACAAAACAAAAAATCAATGGCAAACCTTAAGTAGCGAAGGGACATCATTGTAAACTAGTTATTGATGTGCTAAAAGTCATTTACACCTGCCATGGAAGATAGATTGTGACACTATTAATTTAACCGGCCGTGGATATACTAACATAGCTGCCATGTAAACCAGCAGTCCACCATCTGTAAAATTTTATGCATATTTTGTGCAGATAGCTATACAATATTTTGACAATCCCAAATCAGCTTTAATCTATCAATTTCAAAGTTTGTCACCAGAAAGTTCATCTGAAGGAGAGTGTCTGTTCAATTCATGTTAAATACAAAATGATTACAGTAGGTAACGCAAAATGCACCATTTCTTGGAAAAATAAAGTTGTTTAACATGGTTATTATGTACTTTCAAGGCATAATACAGTTTTTTTTAAAGCACATCTTAAAACACCAATTTACAGTAGTATAATGAAAGATATATTTTCTCACGGAAGGCATATGGCAATAGCAGTAAAAGTAAAGATGCTTTTCTGTGCAATAATTCTTCATTCACATAACAATATGTAAAGGGATAAATGGTGTAGTGCTGAATTTTCATTTCTGGTTCACTTTGAGGGAGGCTGGAGAAACTATCGCAAAGTGAACGTTTTTTCAATAGTGTCCACAGCTTTTTCATCCTTGGGCATTTAATATCATTTGGCTTTTAGGAAAGTGTGGATCCTTTTAAAAGAGAGACAGAGCTGTCTCTACAGTGTCCCCTCTTTAACCATTCCAAGGGTAGCATTAAATAGCAGTTGAAAACTACCGAGGTACACAAAGGATCTCCCTCAAAGAAATTATAGTGAGAAATGATGTCTCGAGACAGCATTATTGCTAACATATGATCACTTAACACTTTTTATTTTTTATTTTTGTTCCTGCCAACCACCCGGTTTTAATCTAACTCAGATGTTGCATTTGGTGAAACAGCAAAAGGAAAATAATACTTCATGAAAAAATGATTAAAAAAACTAATAAATATCATGGCTCTTCAAAAACCGTAATAAGGCGTAATCACACTAAGTACATGAATGGTGCACATATTTTGCTTGATATTAGGACACATACTCCAGGTTAGATACATAAGGATTTTGCAATTTTTTTCCTTGTCAAGTATGCTTTTTAAATGATTAAAAATCATTCATCCCAATCTTTCTCATTGTACAAGAATTTTTGGACCCATTTTAATGAAAGTTTTTTGTCCAATATGTTTTCTTGTAATTGTGTAACAGTTGAAGAGCACTTTCCATCAAAAAAAAAAAAAATAGGTTTAGGGCCGGGCGCGGTGGCTCACGCCTGTAAACCCACCACTTTGGGAGACCAAGGCAGGTGGATCGCTTGAGCACAGGAGTTTGAGACCAGCCTGGGCAACATGGTGAAGCCCTATTTCTATAAAAAATACAAAAATTAGCTGGGTGTGATGGGGTGCAGCTGTAGTCTCAGCTACTTGGGAGGCTGAGGCAGGAGAATAGCTTGAACCCGGGAAGCAGAGGTTGCGGTGGGATGATGAAATCATATGAGACAAGATCCAGCCTGGGTGATAGAGTGAAACCTTGTCTCAAAAAAAAAAAAAAAAAAAAAAAGAAAAAGAAAAAAAAGAGAGATTTAGTTGGGTAGAAGGAGAGTGAGCTTGTGCCTTGGCTATATGCTGACAGCGGAAAGATTTTACTGTTCTATAGAAAAATGTCTGAATATAAATTGGCACACACAGGATGTATTAAATAACTGTTCAATATTTTCTTTATCCCTATGTGTGGAAATTTGTAATTACAAATGTTTTCATTTACAGATCTAATGGCATTACAGAATCATGTCTACAGATCGTGCATAGTGAAATCTATTTCAACAACTC
This sequence comes from Homo sapiens, assembly GCF_000001405.40. Taxonomy (NCBI): domain Eukaryota; kingdom Metazoa; phylum Chordata; class Mammalia; order Primates; family Hominidae; genus Homo; species Homo sapiens. The sequence continues at coordinate 91,949,665 of NC_000005.10, forward strand.
AAAGAGTTTAAAGGACATATCCTTCAAAAATAGGAACCTAAACCTCATTGATTATATTGCCATCTTCTACTCCTTACTATTTCGCGGTTGGCTTTTTATCCCACTATTTTTTTTTAATTATCTATGCAAGATCACAAATAACCTCTTAATTGATACGTTAGTACCAGTTTTCATTCTTTTTCCTTTCCCTAGTATTTAAAAATGCAAATCAACCACTACTTGAAGCTTTTGTTTCCTTACTTAGATGATCATTTTTTTCTGTTTTCCCTTCATAGTTCTTAACCAATTTCATGATTCCTGCATATAAACAATCTTCATGGTTAATTTTTTACCTTTCCTCCTTCTATTTTTACTATTTCTAAATAAATTACCTAGACTCTTTAAGAATGAACCATTTCAAATCTCTTCCTAGCCTACCTGGCCAGTGTTAATTCCTTTTTCTAAATGTCTACTAGACATTAACCAATTAATGTTATTCAGTGGTAGCTACATATACCTTCAGGCTTATCTTTGGAGACAAAATAGTGAGGAAAAGCAAGATAGCCATTGCCATCACGGTTCCTTAATTCTTATGGGAAAACTAGAATTCAAATAATCACACAAATTAATGTAAAATTAAATATGTGATAAAGGGTATGAGCAAGTATGTTATAAGAGCATGACCTAGAGAAGGCTGTTGCTGGAAGTCATGTTTAAAGTGAGATGTAAAGACTTTTAGTAGAAATTAAGTAGGTGAAAAGGAGAGATATGGTGTTCCAGACAATGAAAATCACAGGTTTAAAGGTCATTAGCGAGCATGTCCTGGTTTGTTTGTATCTGAAAAAGGCCAGTGTGGCTGGAGCACATGTGAGATGAAGCTAGCTAGGAGATGACAGAGCTTAATGTCCTTTGTAAGCTGTGACAAAGAATTTTTATCTGTATCCTAAGAGCAAATTTTTAAGCAATGTGAGGAGTGGTGTGGTATGACAGACGCTCAGTTTGAAAATGTAATACTAGGTACAGATTGGAGAAAACACTTGGGGGAGCCAACAGAGGTACAGAACAGTGAAGAAACCCACTGAGGTGGTCTAGATAAAGGATAATCACACAGCAGGCTAAGCCATAGTGATGTACTGATTTGGAAGTGGCAGTAAGAGAAAGGAGGTTCGATGATGAAGTCTTCCGAAGAGAGTTGTCAGATAAAATAAAAGGTGCCTAGTGAAATTTGCATTTCAGATAAACAATAACTTTTTTAGTGTATGACTCATGCAATATTTGAGAGATATAACACATGCATGCACGCACGCACACACACACACACACAATTCAAATTTATTTGCTAAATCTTACAACCCGGTTGCTGACTTGCCATTTCTGATTTAGAAACAATGGAAGAGAACCAGGAGAAGAACAGGAGTAATGTTTTGCTCATGTTTTCCTTTTAACTCCAGACACCTGAGAAGAAATGTGAACCAGGCACTTGGACCTTGAATCTGGAACTGAAAGGAAAGGTCTGGGCTGAAGTTATTTTTGTGCGGTTTCTTCAGAAATATATCAAATTTCACATGTTCTAAACAAGCATATACTTTTAATTATCAAACCATTCCCTTCTATAGATTTCATCTTTGTATTAGTGATACACAAAGTAGCAGATATAACCTCTTATTATCCCCAAATAGCCATTATCCACAAGTAAGCAGAAATGATGAAACAATTATTATTGTATGTTTTGCTTTTATTTTGTCCTACTGATCCAGTCAATTATCAAATCTTTCTACTTATCACCCCAATATCTCTCAATATCAGTATCACTCACTATGTCTATTCTCTATTTTTTAAATCACATTAGTTAGAACACTCATTTTAAAAATAAATTCTAATCAGTCTCTAGTTTGTTGCTTCTAGGATCAATTTTTAAGCTTGTAATGCTTTGCTATTTATGATAAAATAAAGATCACTATGATCTTAATATTTTTGCCTGAAGTAACTAAAATAATTTTTCTTGACCGTAAGAGTCCAGAAGGCCAAACAAATCTTTCTATAAATGCAAATATTTATGCTAAATGGATTTTCACTTTTACATGTAGTAAAGCTAAGCAGTTGAACACATAGAAAAATTGTTTATTTATTATCCAAGAAATGATCGCTTAAGAATGGATGAGATAAGAGATAAGATAGACAAAAGTGTTAGGAATCAACCTGACAATTTAAATGGTAAACTTTTGATTTATGATCATGTTGACCACTTAAGCATGAACCTGTTAACACAGGATGTGAGTATAGTATTAAGAAGATACAGATCTTTCAGAGGAAAAAATATTTATTGGTATTTTTCACCTAGCAATTCATAATTATTTTGAGTTAAAAATGATTTTCATGTCTCTCCAATCCCAAAGTACACAACTATCACTCTTACAGTGACACTATTGTTCAATTTTCAGTAAGTAAGGAATGCTTCTAGTTTCACAACTGTGCTATTACTGGAGATGAGGCTTATCGCACACTCACTTTTGTGCTGGGAGTACTTCTATTCTGCTATTTCAAGCATGAACAGCACACTATTAGGTAAATAAATCTGTGCACAGTGAAGAATGAGCATGACCTAACAAAAAGCAGTAAAATAAAAACCAAAAGACTTCCTGAGTTACTTGATCTTTATTGGTAGAGATTATCCATCAATTTTCTTATAACCTAATGTATTTCTGAATCCACACTGGGGATATTATCTAATCTTTTTCTCTTTGGGTAGTTAGATCCATACCTGCATGCTCTAAAGAAAGGATTGGACCATGTTGTAGAAAGTGGACAAGATTACTTTTAAAATAGAATGAGTTGGAGACCACTGAGATAATAGAATATTAAGATAAATGGTCATTACTCATATGGTAAATGCAATTGGAGATTATTTGAAGGCGGTCACCTGCTGGGAAATAAACTTTCAAGAAAAATATAACTTCTCGATGGAGGCTGTCATTTGACCCCATTATTGTACCTTGTCAGTGATATCTTTCATCTCCAATGGGATGGCATGTGCTAGTCAGTTTTGTGGTTATATGTCAAGTCATTCAATTCCTGTATATGTCTTTCAAAACATGGAAGGGCAGGGATGAGAAGGGGGAAGGGATATAAACTGACTTTGAACTCAAGATGGACTCTGTGGTTACTTTATCAAAACGTAAGAGTCTCTATTCCCATGACCTTGTCTAAACCTTTCTTAACATTTCATTTTTTCCTAGCATACATCAAATCTTCATGCCAAACTCACCTTAAAAAAAGATATCTCCTTTCATTCCTTTTATTCAAATTTGTTTCTCCTCAGTGGCTCCACATCTAGAATGCTGTCCCTTCCCATCTCTGGCTGAATTCTTAATTTACTCCTCTCACCCATAAGCTGTTGTCCCCTGAGGTGACGAAGTAACAGAGACTTGCATCATTTGACTCTCAGAAGCATAAAGACCAGGATAGAAATAAAGTTCATCCCGAAATGACAGTCAAGGGCTGTCCAAACGCAAGTGAGAATCAGAGAGGAAACTAAAGCAATATTCGAAGTCCCTTTGCAATAGTCTTCTCCAAATTCTCCCAGTACCAAACCCTGAGAATTTGCAAAGAAAAAGGAAGAAGGGGCAGGTGGCTAACATGTATCTTGTCCTTTGCCACTTTTAAAATCATAGCACCAAGGCAAAGCCAGATGCCTCTCCATCTCGTGCAATATTGAGAATCCTGAAAGGTGCAGATATTGCATACCAACGAGGGTTGCCTTCCCTATGTCTTCCTTGATCATCAGGGTTGTAAAGAACCCTAAGCAAATTTGCATCCAGACGTACGCAGAGGAAATCTAATGTGATAATCTTGGGTCAAAAGGAATAATAGGACAACATTATGTAAGGTATGGACACGATATTATGCTTTGAGAGATTAGCAGATGTCGAGGATGATTTGAAGAACATGATTCAAAATAAAGGTAAGGAGGTAGGCAGAAGTGTGACCATGGAGGACCTTATCAGCTATATTTAAAATTCTGGTATATATCTTAAAAGTCATTTAAAAATTCTTTAATAATAAATGTCTATCATATTATATGCTTAATGTAGAAGATCTCATTAAAATACCATTCCTACAGCAAATATTTGTTTGGTGCCTGCTACATACAAGTCACTGAAGTGCTTCCTCCTCTAATAATTTCTTGACTCCTCAAATGAGATTTGAACCCTGCTTCATCCAAATCCTTATAGCATTTTTATCATTAGTTTTAAATTTCTCATTGTGTAATATATATTTTAAACTTACATATGACATGTTAACCTCTGGCCCTTTGTCAAAATTTACAAAAGATCATTATTTCTTTATTGTTGTTACTTTTGCAGTTAAAATACTTCCTAGAACAATATTGTTTGTACTATGAGTTTATTTTGGGGTTCTCTTTAGCAACAGAGAAGCAAGAATTATTAGGAGATCAAAATGACCCTAAATCCAATTTTGATATCTTCTGTATTTTAAATTATAAAGGAGATCTGACACAATATAAAGTCCTCAAATTCCAAACTCTCACATACTGAAGTCCTTTCCAGAGGTGCTGATGTTGCTTAACTCTTCATTTCACTGTCTTTCATCTGTAATGTAACAAAGACATTTGAGATCAGTGACCACAAGCAGATCATATTAGTAGGCCTGCTATCAACTTGTCATATCAGTGCTTAGTTACTCTCACTAAATTCATTTTGTGTTGTTGAGTAACATAGGCAAGGAGTTCAGAGAATTCATGATAATAATCATGGAGATGAAAAGATTGGCAGGGAGGAATCATTATGGAGTTAAGCAAGTTTACACCCTATCCAATTAACTTCAACACTACTATCAGAATTAACAACTGAAAGTAAAACAAACAAAAAAAGGCTTCATCACTAAGGAAGAATAATTCTTTATAAAAATAATTGATACTGTATTCAAGTATTTCTGAACATGTGTCGGTAAACCAGAATCATCTCAATTAAGTAGGTGTCACGGATCGTAAATATTTCCTAAATACGCTGCTATGGAAATGATCATTACTTTTTAACATTCTCGAAAGTTAAATTAAAGAATGAAGACTCCAGATTATTGTTTCTCAAAGATTGGTTCATGGACAATTTGCATTAGAATAATGTGTGCTTTATTTATTCATTCATTTGTTAGTAATTTATTCACTCATGCTTTCATCAACTATTTATTGTTTATCATAGGACAAGTATTGTTTAATGTTCTGGAGTTGTAGTGGTGAAACTAAGAAAGCACCTTCTCTTGCTATTAAAGATGGGTATTATTAAAAAGGAAATTATCCTAGGCCCAACACTGACCTACCAAATATGAATATATGGTGATTAGACCATCCAAACTTCTGTCTTAGATTTATAGGTAAACTTTGCAATTGGGAGAAAAACTGCCCACAGTTAATCATTTCTGTGAGATACAACTTTTAAATAATGTACATTTTTCCACCATTTGTTTCCCCAAAACTATATACTTGAAATAAATAAAGAGTTCTCTTTCCTTATGTATAAGCACATGTATAAACACAGACAACCCTCCAATTTTCTCACTCATGTAGGGGACTGAAGACACAACTAGAAATATATAATCCTCTGTTATTTGGGCAGGAGGCTTCCGTTAAGCATTACATGAACACTTCAATAGACTTATTCAAGCCTGACCACTTTTTCTATGATTTTTACTTTTGATTACTTCTGTTCTGTTTTCATCCCCTGACCATCTTTTAAAAAATACATATTTAGTAATACAGATTGGATATGACTTATTGTTTCATCTGTTTCACAAATGACATTCATATTTTTCAGATTATAAATTTAGCCTAATGTCAAAGTTTTCTTATAGTGAACCTACAATTCTGCCTCTTTAATTACAATTTAAGCCCAGACCTCTTTCATGTTTTCTAACTGGATTCTTTTTCCCCCATAGCTTTCCTAATTATTCTTTCACTCATGCCATTTTTGGGTGGGAAGGGGATCAATATCTTAACTAAATTTTTTTCTAATGTGTCACCTTCTGGTGTTAGAAGGCTTAGGCCCCACACAGCCAATAAAGTTAGCAAAGTCACTGCCCCCAAGATAAAGTGAGACTAATTTGCTTTGGCAGCCAACATGTCCCAAGAGATTTGGGAGCCCAGCCAACCTGAACTCGGAAGCAGTGATAAAGCTGTCGACTGCCCAAGATTCCCCTCACTCTGATTCAGTGCAAAAAGGGTGGTACAGGACAAAGTGGTACCCAAATAGATTTTTTGCAGCCTAGATTTCATCCAGAGTATGGTGCTATGAACCAAGCCACAATTAAGACAGGAAATAATGTAGAATAAAGCAATGCATCTTTGACAGAAAACATTTTAGGGTATCAAAATAGCATGCTAATTATACAGTGATTTTTCTGCAACTGTGGAAACTACAAATACTTTCCTAAGTATAATTTAAATGGCTTCATTTAGTTGCATTTTATGACCCCCAATACTCCTGTGAATTTACGGAAGCACATTTAGAAGAACAGAGTTGCGATGTCACCTATTTACTTGAAGGCTTTCAGTTGAATATATTTTTTTCCAGTGGATTACCATGAAATACCCCTGCAAAGAGCATATTCAAGATGTTCTTAATTAGCTTCAGAGCAGGTATGCACTGCTAGCAATTTCACAGTGTCAGGGTCAAATATAGTGATCATCATTGCATCATTTCATACATGGAAATTCCCTTAGAAAAGTTAATCATGTAGAAATTTTAAAAATTCTGAACCCTGACATTCAATGTGTACAAGAAGAAACAAATATGACCAAATGGAACAAGATAGTAATAAACAAATAACAATAATAATGATAAATGTGCATTTTTAATAATCATTAAATTTAGAATCTTTGATTCACATTGCATATGTATACCATATAAAACTTATTTATAGCTCTGCAAAGTTCTATGGGCCTAATTTTCACATTTTTCATAATTAAACTTGAAGACACATTTTAGAATTTTGTAGGAATTAATAGAATGTACTTTCTGTGATGCTATCTTAAAGATTCTTAGAAAATTGCTTGTATTTTGAAGTATTTTATGATGAATGAATCTTCTGTATATTATACAAGATACCACAGTTTGCTGACATTTGAGGTTTTCTTTGATACCAAGGCAAGAAAATGAAATACTTAGATTCATATTCCTAATTTCTCTCCCCATTTATTTCTGTCATCCTGCTGTTTGTCAGCTGCAAACCTAGCTCTTACCTCTAGGCAAGCAGGCAAGCAAGCGTCTCTTTCCTGAACTAATAGCCATGTAGCTCCTTGAATTAATTGGCAAGTCAATGGTGCAGCCTGTGTGTTGTTTCCCCAGGAGACCTGGTACTTCACATCAGCAACTTTTTGAATTCAGTTTGGCCTTAAGTTTGCTCCCAATCTTAACCCTTTTTTGGCCTCTTATATTCAAATGGATGGTCATATTGAATATATTGCATATACAGTACAAGGATACATCTATCAATAAAACTCGAGAAAAGTGGGAAAGAGCCACTGATTTTTTACAAAATAACTAAAACATGCTTTTAAGGAAGTCTCTTGTAAAAAATTATTTTTTGTTTTGATGATTTATATAAAGGAAGATCTTTAAGAGACTCTTAAGAAAACCCATTTTTATGTGTTTTGCTGGATAGTTTCTATTTTAAATTATTTAAATTCTTAATTCCTTATACTTATTTAATCTTAGCAGAATAGATTGAAAATTAGAAGTTTTACTCCTGACTTGATCACAGACTTTTAAAATAATCTTGGAAACTCAACATAAAGTAGGTTTTCTTCTGTGTAAGATTAACAATTTAGGTAAGGTAAGACCTTTTCCAATTCCAAATTTCTGGATATATTTTAAAAATTCAGCCAGTGATTTGAAATATATTGTCAGTGATAAAGACAGAGCCTCAAATGCTTTTAATTATTTTAATTAGTTTTTCTGCTTAACAGAAATAACTTCACTGGAGCTCAGGTGTTCTGCTTCATTTTTTATTCAATCACTACCTGAATTGAATGATTCATGAGTAATTTTAGCAAGAACTGCTTGGAAATTATTCCCTTCAAATGACCCAGTGTTTCAGATAAGAACCATCCAGTGGAAAATAGTTTGAGTCACATAAGTAATTTTTTTTTCCCAGAGATGGGGTTCTCGCTTAGTCACCAAAGATAGATTGGGTGTGATTGCAGTGGTACAATCACAGCTTAGCTCACTGCTGGCTTGACTCCTGGCTCAAGGGATCCTCCCCTCTCAGTCTCCCAAAGTGCTGATTAGAGGCATGAGCCACAGTTATTTCATATATTTATTTATTTATTTTTGAGAAGGAGGATCACTCTGTCACCCAGGCTGGAGTATAGTGGCTCAATCACAGTTCACTGCAGCCTCCAACTTTTGGACTCAAGCAATCCTCCCACTTCAGCCTCTCAGATAACTGGGAACTGTAGGCGTGTGGCACCATGAGAGAACCCACCTAAGTAATTCTAAATTTTCTAGTAGTCACATTTGAAAACTAAAAAGAAACAGATGCAATTATTTTTAATATATATTTTAAGCCAATATATTCAAAAATTGTCATTAAGACATATAGTCAATATTTTAAAATATATTCATAAAATATTTTACATTGTTTCTTCTTGTATATTTTATATTTTCAGTATATCTCAATTTAGGCAGTAAATTTGTATCAGAAATAATTTATCTGTATTTCAAATGCATAACATTTACAGTTGAAAAAGTGAATTTATAGCCGCAAGTTATTCCACACATACTTACAAAGCTTTTAGCTAATTTTAAAATTAAATTAAATTTAGTTAGATTTATATTAAATTACAAAATTGAGTTTATTAGTGACACTAGCGACATTTCAAGTGCTCATGAAGCACATTTACTTCTGTATGTGTGGGTATCTACGCATAGATCCACTTCTCATTGGAGATCAAACTTGAACATTTGCTGGCTTCTAATTTACCAACAAAAATTCTACAAAGGGCAAAAGAGATTTTCTGTTAAATACACACAGTTTAATGAAATGTTAAGATAAATAGTTTTGCCTGACTTTAAAAAAAAATTCTGGTTCTTCTCTACAAATATGTGTTGCTTATATGAAAAGTAATTATTATCCCAGACTTTTTATTTTTGAGGTAATCCAAGTCACCCACCCTGTTCTTTAAGTAATCTAAAATAAGAGGTAATCCTTGAAAAATATTTTTCTATTTTTTGCTGAGCTTTTACAATTTTTCAGGATAAAGCCTCTCAAGAGTGGAGAGAGAATATTGTCTAAATCAAAATATTTAAATATACTTGGGCCTTGATTTCCTAAGTACATATACTACAAATTATCTTTTTGAAGCTCAGATTTCCTAAGCTATGAGTGAAAGTTACTGGAGAAGAGGAAAGGTTTTTAACTTTGGATATGGTATTTTTTTTTAACAACAACTATTTATTCATTGTGAAAAGCACAGCTAAACATCAGATTTTAGAGCTGAAAGAAAATGAAAGATCATCTAAACTAAATCACGCATTGCACAGGTAAAAACACTGAGCCCCAGAGACGCAAAGTGACTTGTCTAAGATCACATAATTTTGTCACACATCTTGGGCTGGAACTCAGGTTTTTGATTTTTCTAGTCAGTACTTCCCCCAAGCATTATGTATTAATGGATGATCATAAATAAAAGATTGCAAAATTGGTATACTTAATTCCAAAAGGCTGGTACGTAAGGACATAGAACAATAGAAAATTTAATTCTCACTTCTGCATACCAAAACACATTCCTAAATCGTAGCAATAACTATTTTGCTCATTAGATACTTTTACTCTCTCTAATCCTGAAGAAGTGCTTAGAACCCCATATAAATGCAGACAATACAAACTAAAAACATCATAAAATTTACTATAAAACTTTTTAAAAAAGAGTAAATATTGCAAATGAAGTCCTCTTAAAGTGGAAGGTGAAGATCAATATATTCAATAGGGCACAAACACCCTTTGCATATAGAGGAGCTTGTTTTAACTATACATATGAAATGATAACAAAATGAATATATCAGTTTACTTCACCAGATACATTATATTTCACCTACAAATAGTAACCTAATTAAAAATACTGAATCATATTCTTGTTCAAAAAGTGTATAAGTTTAACACAGATGTTATCGAAGTAAAATTCAGAAATTCATTTACAAGTCAGATTTGTTAGATGCCTGTAGATTGATAATAAATTAATTTTCCAAACATTTCAAGTTTGTAAAGAATGAATATTTCAGGCTAATCTAAACTCATGTAATTCTAAAAAGTTAATCAAAAATTACTACTTAAAATATTGATAATTATGGAAGCTAAATGTTGAATACATGGTAGTTCATTCATTTATTTTCTCTACTTTCATATATATATTTAACATTTTCATAATACAAAACCTAAAAAAAGATAAAAAATAAGATGCCTATTTCTCAAGTTAATGTAATTGTAATACAGTCTTTGCAGAGATGTGATTAAAAAAGAACTACCAGTAATAAAAAATGTTCCTAAGTATTTTGTGTAATCATTATAAGTTGAGAATACCTTAAAACATTGTTGCATATAGGGATTTAAGAAAAAGCTCACAAATGGAAACACCTAGGATGGATCTATGCTTTTAATAGTAGGAGCTCCTAGACATTCCCCAGAGTGTCCACTCTGATGTTAATGTGTCTTAACCTTAACTTTTTCAGTTTTAAATTTGTAATTCAAATTCTTGAGAACAATAGCTGACTCTTTACTTGAGTCAGCCAATGGACTAGCTTATTCTAGGTCAACTGACCATTTCTGGTCCAATCAACTGAGGCCTGAGGAATGAGGCTGTCTATATGATGTATGTGGGACCATTCACTTCAGTGCAGTGCAGTAGATGGCATAAGTTATTTCTGAAGGGATACGGATGGAAAGGAAATAAATATTACCTTTTCTGCATTAGTACTGCACTGTCTTCCATGTTTCTGCTGGCCTCAATGTGTCTGCTTTTTCATCAAAATTTATGATATCCATAAATATATATTTACTTACATTAACTTATTCTTTTTATTTTAGTATTGTGCTGACATAGTATAATCTGTTTTTCTACCACTCCAACTTGTGAGTAATAAAAGGGTCCAGAAAAGTCTGTAACAAGATGGCATTTCTAAGGCTATCCACATCCAGCTTCAGAACTTAGTTTCTTCAAATATCTCCTCATTTAATTCTTTAGGAGCTTTTAGGAGTATCCCATTTTTTTTCCTTTCGTTTTTCTTTTCCTGAAAACATACGTCTTTCACAGTAGTTTTTTTCTCTTCTTTCTGACAATGCTTTCACAAAGATAATCAATGTCTAGGCTAGACATTTGAGAAGCCATCACATGTCTATTTTCTGTCACCACCAAGGCTTCCAAAGCATCTAGTGCCAATACTGCCTATGTATGGAACTTATATGGCTCCATTCAGATCTCTCAGCAATTTCAGCATTTGCTTGTTGATATTTTATTTTTATTTTGGGGGCATCTCCCCTTTGGGTTCAAACTTATGTATATGTGAACATTTAAAATACATTAACTTACTCATTCAATATTTTTTATTTTATAGTAGGTGTATCAGTTTTTTTTCCCCTGGTTCATCATCCCTCCCTTTTTCTTTTGGCAAAGAGTTTCCAGTTTCCCAAAGGAAATTTGCAAAATTATATTTTCTGCCACTGTGGCTTGGCTTGGGGCTGACTGCCTCATTGTAATCTCAGACATTAGTAGATTATTCAGCCAATAGGTATATCCCATCTCCTTAACCATACTTGTTAGTTCAGTGATGAACATATGACCCAAGTAAAGCCAATAAAAATCAGCCCTAGGACTTTCAAAGACACATTGAGAATAAAGCAGTATCTTTCCCCTGGGATTCGTGAGATGAGACAATACAAGCCTGAAATAGCTATCTTTGTCATAAAATTGGGAGAATTAAAAAAGTGAAGATGAGGAATATCAGAAAAACTTGAAGAAAAAATGTAAGTCTAGTAATGCTTTTACAGGCATGGGGAAGGAGGGATAACTCTTGTTGAGTTTGTTTATTATAAACCCAAAGTCATTTAATAGTCTTGTAATTTCTTTCTTGTTTTTATTAAAATAAAAATAAAATAGAAACAAGCACACAAGCAAGAATATTGGTCTTAGGTGTTGAAAAACATGTTTATATACATTGGTAAGTTTTCATTTTATTAGTAAGTAAATTTTATTTTTTTTAATTAGTTTGATTTTTTAAATGTTATTTGCAACCCAAAGAATCCTGAATAACACAAGCACCTCTTATGTATCAGAGATATGCTAAAGACTGAGTGATGGAATGAGAGACATGCTCCTTGGCCTCGCGGAATTTATATTCTTGGGTTACTTTCATTCTATGTGACAAACATAAAATTCTGACAGATCACCTATAAACACTTATTTTTCGTTATTGTTGTTTGACAAGAACACTGTTGATATGGGCAGGAGATATGGAAATACTGTGTAGAAGGGGGCATTTCCCCAGCAAAGTACCCACGCCCAAGCCTGGAAACCTTTGGCCCTAAATGAGAAAAGGCATTCCAGAATGTTGCCTTTTTGCCCAGCATGCCCTGCTATCCTGTACCCATATAAGCCCCAACCCCAGGCTGCACGAGCAGATGGGCAGATGAGCAGATGAACAGAAGAGCAGAGGAGCAAGAGAGTGGTGTGGCCAAGAAGGAGAGAAGTGAGGGAACATCTGAACATCAGGAAGGGTTCAGCTGGGGAGGGTCAGAGAGGAGATTGGCCATGGGACAGCTGAACTCCAGGGGAAGGTCAACTTCCCACTCCATCTCCTTTCCAGCTCCCCACCCATGTCTCTGAGAGCCACCTCCATCACCCAATAAAATCCCTGCATTCACCATCCTTCAAGTCCATGTGTGACTTGTTATTCTTTCTGGACGCCGGACAAGAATCTGGGTACCAAGATGGCACTGAGCTGGTTAACACATAAGCCGTCTGCAGACGGCAGAGCTAAAAGAGCACTATAGCACACCAGCTGGGGCTTCAAGAGTCTCAGGAAAACACCCTTAGATGCCACTGTGGGGCCAGAGCCCAAAAGCACTCTCCCTGGCTCCTGCACCCCTGCCCATCTGCATGCTCCCCCTCCTGTAAGGGGTTTGAGCAGCAGTGGCCCCTGTCACACATCCTGCAACTGGAGTCAGGGAACTGTTCTGTTTCACTGTGACTTTATAAGATCTATTTGTGGAAGTTGAGTGAAGATTATACAATAATTCACTCTAATCTTTTCAACTTTTCTGTAAGTCTAAAATTACTTAAAAATGAAAAGTTAAAAAATAAAATAAAACCAAATTTAACAAAACCAACCTACAAACTTGTTTTTTGGATGTTGCATCTTAAGAGAGGATGTGTCCTTTTCTAGAAGTCTTAGTAGATAGACCACATAAAAATAAACCCTGAAAGGCTCCCTTCTATGATCTCTAACCAAGATGCAAAATTCATGATGTTTAATAGTAGTTTGTATAACACTTAATGTAGATGTTAGATAACAGTCCAGAGTCAGGGAGAGAGTTGCTGCAGATATTTAGTGACACAGTGATTTAAGAATACTGAAGGAGACTATCAGTGATTTTTCTGGGGTTTCTTTTATATTGTTGAGATGGCTAATGTTACTCCAAGATTTATTGTCACGTGATTGAGTTCAAAGATAGAAAACAGGCAATAGTTTTCCAACAATCATACTCTTACATCACCTTGACCAGATGTGGGTCACAATTTCATGCCTGAGATCAAAGGATCTCCATTCACTATCCAGTCAAAATTGGGATTTGATTAGGAAGAAGGTAGGCAGTAGTTTTGGTGTAAACATTAAATGCTATACATGACTCCACCTCTTCATTGTAATGTAGACACTAAAATTTTGATGGAATTGACTTTATCCTCAGTGGCCCTTGATTAGTGAAAGCCAATATGAGTTGTCCCATTCTTCTCTCCATAGTGATTAGTTCAGGAATTTAGGACTAAGACAATTGGTAGATGGTATGACTGTGGCCACGAGTAATGTGTTTGGGATTTAATTTGGCAAAATTAAGCTGACAGCCTTTGTGAGATTTTCCAGGAGACAGAATCTCTCTCCTCCTGAAGAATGCCTTGTGCAGTAAAAGTTCTTTGACTATTTTGTCTCAATAAGTAAGAAGGGACTTAGGATAATTCTGACCCTACAAAAGGCTGAGTAGAGAGAAGAAAACAAGTTAGGTTCAGTGTTGATATTGTTGAGCTGCTGAATCAAACCAACAGTAAAGGCCACCAGTTAGGTGACTCAGTCAATTCCTTTTATGTTGGAGTTAATTTGTTTAGGTGCTTCTACTAATTGTTGGTCCTAAATAATATTGCAGGGATTTGATTTATTGTTAATTTAAAAAAATAAAAATTATATGAAAAATAAATTTCAATTTTGAAGGAAGATTGCTCTAGCAAATCTATTGTAAAAATTTTTTAAAAGTCTACTGATATAGTTTGGCTGCGTCTCCACCCAAATCTCAAATTGTAGCTCCTATAGTTCCCACATGTCATGGCGGGGACCCAGTGGGAGGTAATTGAATAGTGAGGGCTGGTCTTTCCTGAGCTGTTCTTGTGATAGTGAATATGTCTCATGAGATCTGATGGCTTTATAAAGGGGAGTTCCCCTGCACATGATCTCTCTCCTGCCTGCTGCCATATAAGACGTGATTTTGCTCCTCTTTTGCCTTCCACCATGATTGTGAGGACTCCGCAGCCATGTGGAACTGTGAATCCATTAAACCTCTTTATAAATTACCCTGTCTTGGGTATGCCTTTATTAGCAGTGTGAGAACAGGCTAATACATCTTCCCTTTTCATAAGAAAATTAAAAATATATTTAGCTGTAAATGATGATAAATTTTTTAGTGCCAAGTTAGACAGTCAACATCTAAGTAAAGCATTTATTTTAGGATTTTTAAAAGAGAGATGCTATATATTTCCTTGTTAGTATTTTATGCTATTTTTAGCAATATTTTAAAAAGTTTTGTTTTACCATACACATAGTATAAGCATGTTTGTACTATGTCCAGCCAAAAATTTTGAAGTTTATTCCTCTGAAGTTTATAGATACCATAAATGTGATTCTAACATAGCACATATTGAATATGTAATTTGAACCTGCCTAATGGTAATAGTCATCTGCTGCATAATGCTATTTTGATCAACAAAGGACCACATATACAGTAGTGGTCCCATAAGATTACAATGCTATATTTCTACTGTACCTTTTTCATGTTTAGATATATTTAGATACAGAAATACTTATCATGGTGTTACAATTGCCTATAGTATTCAGCACAGAAACGTGCTGTACAGGTTTGTAGCCTAGGAGTAACAGGCTATAACATACAGCCTCAGTGTATAGAAGGCTGTAACATCTAGGTTTGTGTACTCCTTGAGGTTCGTAAACAACAAAATCAGCTAACAAGACATTTCTCAGATTGTATTCTCATTGTTAAGCAATGCATAATCATATAGAAAACAATGTTATTGAAATCTGATCAACTCATGTTATTATTCCCAGTAATTCATTCACAAATCTGTTGCAGGAGGTAAGGATATCCCTTCTATGAGCAGCCCTTTGTTTGGAGGCCTGTAACTTGGTCTTCTCTTTCCACCTTCACTGCTGATGCTGCAGCTGCACCTATTATCTTTGACTGCTTTGAGAGCGCCAACCTTGCTTTGCTTGGTTAGGCATAGTGGCCCAAAATCACTTCACTCCCATAGGGGGATTTCTTTGTTTGGATTGTGTAACAATTTATATAAAGAGATTGTCTCATGATTATTCATTAATAAGGATACTTGAGCTGTTTCCAAATACATGTCCATTTGTTATATTGGCCTGTAAATACAGACCCCTTACACCCAATGCCACAGACATCCAGACAAAAACACACTTTCCTGGTTAGTTTATTAGAGCTTAAGGTACAAGTAGTAAAGTTTGGGCTTGGATAAATTCACTCTCTGGGGTGATAAAATATGAGAAAATTCTGTTCGGCTTATTTTCCTAAAAAGCCTGAGAATCTGGAGTAGATAGTGCTTGGGTTAGCAACAATGTTGCTGACCTTCTAGCTCTGGCCTTTCACTGAGCGCTGGTCTGCTTAAGATGCCATCAGAAGGTTTAGCAGGCTTAAGTGAGGCACTTTAACATTTAGAGAAACCAAAATATATGACCTAGAAATTTTTGTAATATGGACTTTTTTGCTAATTATTTTTATATAAACTCATATTATCATTTACAATGCTTAATTTTTCTGTATATAATCTTTATCTCTAACCAGGAAAAAAAATTTGTTCACAGAAACTCTTTTTGTTATCATTGTTTTCAAGTGTGTTTTACATACACAAGAGAAATTGTATATGGATATTGCTATATTAACAAATTTGATTGAGTTAGTGTTCTTATTTTTAATATTTTCTTAAAATGTAATGGCCAGATGTACCTGAAGACTACATGTAATGAACTAGCACCACCCTGCTGAGTCTTAACCATCAGTACATGCCTGTGCTAGGCCAGGTTTCATTTCTAGTTTATTTCAATTAAGTGTCTGTAATGTAATTACATGGCACAGGAAGGATCTGTTGATGTTGTGAATTTGATTTTTAATAAGATTACTCTAAACTATAATCTGCCTTTATAACTTTGAAAATTCCTGTTAGGTAATTATCTTTCTATCAACTGTTAGGAAAATACCCATTTACACAATTACTGGGCAGGATTTCCTTTAAGGTGGGTTACAGTGGTGAGGGTATTAGAATCACTTCTTGGTTTATTAATTGCAAACACTTTCTAAATACAACTGGCACTTTTGGGGCTAGAGGTAATTTCAAAATATCATATGTGGAGAAGTACTGTTATTTAGAGTAAAAACTCCCCATTATTTGGATTTTTAAATATTTTCTTAATTTTTCTCCTACCACCTCTATTACCCACCCATATTTTCCTTACCCTTTCCTCGATTTTCCCAGATATCTCTTGGGAAATCAGGTTTTAGGGGCTGGCAGTTCTCAATACTTAAGTTGCTAAAGAGTACTTGGCTTTTAGTTTGGGGACGTCATTTCTCTGCAACAATCACAGGCCAGGTGACCTGTAAAGGGATTTTAGTCAGTTTCACTGTTCAACTGACAGCTTTTTGGTTTATGTTTTCGCTAACATTGAGGAGGGAGCTGTAAAAATTGGCTCCTGCAGTGGAATGTGTTGTTGAAGAGAAACTTCCGCAGTAATAATTTTATACTACTTGTAATATTCTCTATTATCTTAAATATTGAAGAATATATACAATACTTCCATTATTTTATTATATTGATTTACATGTTCTTCCCAGAAGATTTTTTTTAAAAAACAAAAACACACTTTTTCCGCCTGGCTCTGTGTGCATGTGTAAGTGTGTGTATAGATTTTTTTGGTCACAATAAAAACATGGTAGCATATTTGCAAGAATGACTAATTAAGGTCAGTTTAAGACCCCTGAATTGAATGTGTCCTTTACCCTAAATAAATACAACAAATGGGTAACTATCAGTTTGATTTTATTTTATGACAAACTTGTACTGAAATACAAATGGAATAATTTTCATTTTAGGAATCTTTATTGCTTAGCTATATCAGATCTTGGAATAAGTCAGTTTTATTTTAACCCATTTTAGGTAAAAATTTTGTCCTATATTTTGTTAGAAAAATTACTAATTTCTATGTGTGTAGTTTCCTTAATATTATAATCTAAAACTTTAAGAATTAAATACATGAACGGGAGAAGGTGGCATTTAGATAACTGTACATACTAATATCAAATACAGTATGAGGATAAATCAAATTATGAAGATTATATAGTGTTTATTACATAGTGAGCTTACCTTATTCTTGTCTTCTTATACTTAAACATAATTTAAAGATAGAACAGAATCTAATTAAGTAAAGTATTTCTATGGTTATTGATAGCGTATTCAAAGTAGACTTTTTTGATATAAAATTTTAGGAAGCTAAAATAGGTTATATAATTGGAACAATTTTTAATTTAACGTATTTATTAAGTTCTTACCATAATGCAAATGTCTAGATAACAAACTTAAATCTTTTGCATTACCTATTTGTCACTGTGACTTCTTTCAGCTTGAGGATTGAAATTGACCTCTAAGCACTGCCCCCGCAATAAGAACCTTGGCTGAAATCTCTGACATTGGAACTCTGCTCACTCTTTCTCTGGGACCTTTGAGACTGAAAGCTGCTGTATGATGTGAACTAGAGTCAGTTATATACCAACCAGTTTTTTTCACCAGGGATCAAGACTGAGTAGCTTTGTAGACTTCTGAAATTAATAGCCACCTTGACAAGGGTTGTTTATCTTTTTCTCTTATTTTAATTGATGAATGCTTATTGGATCTTTAGAGAACTGTAAGTGACTGGCTGAGGCTGGTTGGCCCATAATACAAGATTTAGCCACTGCGTTTTAGCACTTCAGTTTTCTTTTCCCTCTCGGCTTCTAAAATAAGAGTTGAACAATTAATACTGTCTATTTTTTAATATGTAATTTTTCATATGTAGTGCCATGTTGATTTTGTTTTTATGTAAATGAACCAATGACATACTCATTCTAAATTTATTTGTTAAATACACCGTACAAATAGAATGATTTACTTTCTGAATTTACATGGGGCTGTGCAACTAGGAGGAAAACTCTCTCTAGGTATACTGAGTTACCTTTATAAAATCTCAATCCTGCAACTAAATTTTGAAATGGCATTTACCAAGCCTTGCTGTTTAGTAATATCAATGAAAAATAGTTTATTAGGAAGAAAAATGGTTTTTGGAAAGGAATTTTAATCAGTACTTTTATATGTGTCAAGATGTATTAGTTATGCAGTGACCTGGTGGCTACGAACTTTATCTTCTTTTCTAGAAGAGAGAAGGCCCCCCATCAGCCAAGGGCAATTCTGTGGAGAAGGGGTCAACTGTGAGCTGTTAGAAGCCAACACTTCTAGTGGCTGATAAACAGACTGGGAGACAGATGTGCCTGACTGGTAAATGGAGTCTGTGTGGAGCACCACAGGGTTTGCTGTTGTTGGAAAGGAGTATAAGAACTATCTCTAAAATCATAAAATGTCACATGAGATAACATTTAAAAAGTCTACATTAATACTATGAGGGGAAACTTTGAAAATTGAGTAGTTTTAAGACAAATTTAAAAATGCTGTTCTGCATAGTGATTAATCATTATCACTAACCTAGCAGCATCATAGTCGATGAATATAAAAGTTAGTTTGGGTAAGTGTATGAGTAAAGATAATCACAAATGTTTTGGTGGGAAGCTGTAATAATTCCACCATTTAAGATTATTATTTGGAAGAATGACTTTCACTTGGAGTGTCCGTTGACAATAAAGACTAAACATGATCTGGTACTACAATAAGATATGTATTATGTTTATATTCATTCATGCATTCATTTGACAATTATTTATTGAAAACCTACTATGTGCCAAACACTGTGCTAAAGATACAATACTCCCCACGAAAAAAGCATACAAATACTCAGAAATAGCATACAAAATACACAAAAAAGATACAATACTCCCCATAAAGGCATGGGGGGAGATGATTGTGATCCAGTAATCATACAAGGATAAATTCTGCGAAGGAAAAGTTTGTGAAGGTATAAGAGCACATTTGCAGTATGAGAGGGTTAGCCTTAGGGTTTAGAGAAGAGTTCCCTGAGGAAATGATGTCTGAGCCATGGTCTGAAAGATGACAGGTTTTAACTTAAAAAAAAGGTAGAGTTTATCCCAAGAACATTAAACAGTGTATTCAGAGGACATGAGATGGAAGTGTTCTGTCAAGGAACAAAATCCAGGGTAGAAAAGGATTTCAGAATATGGTTTTAAAGTGATAATTTATAGATATACATAAACTAGCTCATGAAGAGTCTTGTAGACCATAGTAAAGATATGGATCTTTATCCTAAAAGCAGTTGGAAATCATTGATGAGTTTTAAACAGACAAAAAGCATTAATGGATTTTCATTTTAAAATGTGTGGTTTCGGTGGGGTGGGGCAGCAGGAGTGGAAACTGGCAGGGCAGTGAGGAGGTTCTTACACTTGTACAGGTGAGAGAATATGAAAGTTTAGACAAATAGGAGGTTAATAGTAAGAATAAAGTGACGACTTATCTGTTGGGGGTAACAGACAAAGGCAACATTGAATCTTACATTTCTGTTTGCTCTGCTGAATAGATGACTTATGCCTGATGGGAGTGTTTTTCTCTGCTTTGTCAACAGTCTTGGCTATAGCAAGGGCTAAAAGTTAGCAGAGGGGACACGGAAGTGCAGTGCTGCCTTCAAAGTCCTAGTGAAGAGATACACGGTTTTCTAACTTTTAGTAATTCTGGCACATGTCACATTTCTACACTTCTCTAACCATTTCTTTCAGGAAGCCAACAGTTTATTCTGAATCTGTGGTTCTCCCAAGCCCATTCAAAAGCATGTTGATTGGTGGCTTTAAATTACCTGTCATTCTAGCAAAGAGTCTGGCTGGATCATCAATGTGTTCTCTCAAAAGCTTTGTTTTGTTGTCTCCTTTTTCTTTTCTTTTTTTCCTTTTTTTTTGCATTATATAAATTTTTTCTTTATTTAAATTATACTTTAAGTTCTAGGGTACATGTGCACAATGTGCAGGTTTGTTACGTATGTATACATGTGCCATGTTGGTGTGCTGCACCCGTTAACTCGTGAGTTACATTAGGTATATCTCCTAATGCTATCCCTCCCCCCTCCCCCCACCCCACGGCAGGCCCCGGTGTGTGATGATCCCCACCCTGTGTACAAGTGTTCTCTTTGTTCAATTCCCACCTATGAGTGAGAACATGCGGTGTTTGGTTTTCTGTCCTTGCGATAGTTTCCTCAGAATGATGGTTTCCAGCTTCATCCATGTCCCTACAAAGGACATGAACTCATCCTTTTTTATGGCTGCATAGTATTCCATGGTGTATATGTGCCACATTTTCTTAATCCAGTCTATCATTGATGGACATTTGGGTTGGATCCAAGTCTTTGCTACTGTGAATAGTGCTGCAATAAACATACGTGTGCATCTGTCTTTATAGCAGCATGATTTATAATTCTTTGGGTATATACCCAGTAATGGGATGGCAGAGAAATGCAAGTCAAAACCACAATGAGATACCATCTCACACCAGTTAGAATGGCAATCATTCAAAAGTCAGGGAACAACAGGTGCTGGAGAGGATGTGGAGAAATAGGAACACTTTTACACTGTTGGTGGGACTGTAAACTAGTTCAACCATTGGGGAAGACAGTGTGGCGATTCCTCAAGGATCTAGAACTAGAAATACCATTTGTTGTCTCCTTTTTCTATGTCAGGCAATACCAATCCCAAATACCTAGGGATTGGGATTGTCCCCAAATGGTAGGAGCAATTTGGAAGCACATGGAGCAGAGCTAAGTAAGTAGCTTATGCATACATTTAACAGAAATTCCTAGAGCCCTTGTCTGGTCTCTCAGGCGCCTCACTGATGGTCAGTGTGCACATGTACCCTAAAACTTAAAGTATAATAATAAAAAAAAAAGAATCATTAAATTGATGGCATGTTTATGGATAGTGGAGTTTCAGAGGAGCATTTTGGAGATATCAAGTAGGCCACTCTCAATGGAGTTCTCTGGGTCAGGTGCATGGTTGGTATAATAATATAAATTTGAGAATCATTTGCATAGGAAGAGAGATGGATGGAGTGAGTTACCATGTAATTTATTGCCCAAACCAGAACACTTTAGAAAGTAAAAGTGGTGTTTTTAAAAATCCTACTGAGACAATAGGCAACTGAGGACGTCCTAGAAATGCCAGGAAGAAAAACTAGCAAAATAATAAAGGAAATACCAGCAAAGAAAGAAACCTGAGATTTGAATGATCTTGTCATAAATTTCTTTACCAATATTTCATCAATGGAAACTGGCATTGTTTTGGATTAACATGGCCATATAAAAATCACTGTTATTTGCAACCCATTCAGGTAGGAAAAAAATCAATAACATTGCTTTAAACTAAAATTGAAAGCCATCCTTTTTTGTTAGGATTGAAACAAATATTGTAGAGTCACTGTTTGGATATTTTTGTCAAGCTTTATTTAATTTTTTTTTTTAGTTTTGAAAGGCTCTTTGTAATTATAACTATAGAAAGTGAACTGATTTTAGATGAGATATATCATTCTTAGTGGCTACTCAGCACCCTTTGACAATTTTTCCTTTCCTTTCTTTTGACACATGCAATCCAAGGCTCCCTTGCCACTATGTGCCAAGTAGCCTGCTGGGAAGCCTGTTACTTTCAGTTTGAAAGTGACTGTCATGGTTGATACTGCTTTTTCCCTTGTCCATCTCTGATATACAAATGATACCTAAGCTATAGGAGCAGTCTGGCATCAGTGAGGGAAAGGCCAAAAATAGATATATTGGACCTGAATTATTGAGCTAGTTAGATGGTATTCAGTGTCAGTAGCTATTTTTTTGTTTTGTTTTACAAGTGAGAAAAATGAGCTCCTTTTATTTAAGACACCATTTATCAGTTTTTCTATACATTTGCAGCGAAAGCATTTCACAGTGATGCAAAGAGCCAAGAGGTGGTTACTAAGGAACTATTCAAAAAACTCTCTTGCAGAGAAGTTGCTCAGCATTCATGTTCATGGCCACTGATTTCCTTATGACGGATTTTAACTTCCTATACACTAAAATTTTAATGTTAAGTGATAACTTGAGTCTGAAAAAAGTCAATCAGGATGTGGAATAATGTTTTGGCAAGAGGAATGACATGACTGGGGCAAATTTGGATACTAATTTTTCATCAGTTCCCTGGATGCTTCTGAGGGATTCAAATGTACCCTGGTAATGGTTTGACAACACCTGGGTGGTGTTTGTGCGCTCTGGTTTATATACTAATGGAGGCTGTTAATGGTCCTATGGGAGTGATTCACAAAATGAATTACACTGCCCATTTTGTTGTTCCAATCTGGATCAGGTAGACAGGATACTGTGGAGGCAGGGATCTACTTTCTACCTCCTTTTTGCCATTACCAAGCCTGCTGGGTGGAAGATGAGATTCAAGATCAAATCCAATTATATCTAAAATCTCATTCCTATGAAACTTTATGAGAAGGTTTCACTGTACTCCACGTCCATACTCAAAACACTTGTGTTCTTTGCAGCAGTAATAGCCTCTCATGATAAGGTTCTGCCTTCCTTAAAAGGTGAGGGATATATGGCACTCACCTGACTTCCCTTTAACCCATATCCCATGTACTTAGGCTTGTGGGATGGAAGGTAAGTTTAACAAAGAGTACCCTCCTGGCTATATGCTTTTCTATGAAGGCCACAGTATGGAATCTTCACTGGGCTTTAGTCTTAATTGTCTTAGGTTTTTTTTTTTTTCTCCTTTTCCTAAGAAATCCATTAGGCCAAATATTGGTTTTATTTTCTACTACAATGTCTTCTAAATTGGATTCTGTAGTCATGTGCTTAGATAAGTTTGGAAAGGGTAAGCATTAAACGGTTATTTTAATTTTAAGTCTTCTCAGAATTGTCATTCCTGAGCTTTTAAGATTGGTCGTGTAGAGAACGTTTTAGACACATTTGATCAAACTCTTTCTTTTTTTCTTTTTCCTTTTTTTTTTTTTTTTTTTTTTTTTTGAGACGGTGTCTCGCTCTATCACCCAGGCTGTAGTGCGCGATCTCGGCTCACTGCAGGCTCCGCCTCCCGAGTTCATGCCATTCTGCTGTCTCAGCCTCCCGGGTAGCTGGGACTACAGGAGCCTGCCACCACGGCCGGCTAATTTTTTGTACTTTTAGTAGAGATGGGATTTCACCGTGTTAGCCAGGAAGGTCTCGATCTCCTGACCTCGTGATCTGCCCGCCTCGGCCTCCCAAAGTGCTGGGATTACAGGCGTGAGCCACCGCGTCCGGCCACCAAACTCTTTCTTATGGAGAATATTGTGGAAATAATGTCTCATGAAACACACATGGGATTTTGGCAGATTCATGTGGTAAATTTGGAGGTGTGTTTTCATTCTGGAATGAGGCAGTACTATTTGCATTCTGCAGCCTCTCTTTTTTGTGTGCGCCCTGTTCAAGTATTAGGTGTTTTCCCTTTCCAACATTTTTGTATTTGAAGACTAGTATCAAAGGAATCTCATGATATGAACTTGATTGTCAGAGTGGGAAATGCACTACTCAGTTTGAAGAGTCTGAAGCAGCAATCTGGAGACCCATGGGCTAAATGTACAATATGACGCACTGTCTGATTGAAAAATGAAAAATGCAGTAATGAGTGTTAGAGCTGGAAGATACTTAGTTAACTATTTTACTCTTCTTATTTTACAAATGAGAAAATTAGTGCTATAGCCTATTCTTGGTTAGCAGCCAGTTAGTGAAAGAACCAGAATTAAAACCATTAGCAAATTAGTATTTTTTCCCATTACAATATTCTTTCTCACAATTCTTATAACATAATAGTACTGTAGTAAATGTTTGTTGAATAAATAGATGATTACATTAATAATAATAACTGAATATTTTCTCTAAAGCTGTCTGCCTATATTTTCCTTCAACATCTCTAGAATCGTTCTCCTATAGTATTTTATAGCCTATCCTTCTAAATCGTAATTATTCGGATATCAAGTGAATTAATTTGTCATCCAAGTTTTTTCTTAATAGTCATAAAAATCAACACTTTATTTCAGAATTCTTCCACAGTTACCCATAAGGGAAATAAGAAAGAAACTGTATGGCATGGATGCTTGATAATAAAGATGGAACTGAGACTGATAAAGTATTCTTTGAGAACAAATTTCTCACTCCTGCTTCACACTCTCTCCTACAACTAATGCCTAAAGTGGCTTTTGTCACTTACAGATGCACCATCATGATAGCCAAATGAGTTCACAGTAGACATTTCTCTGGTGTTCTTAATTTGTGAAGTCGCAGTGGCCTCTAAATCACTGGACCCACACTTCCCTCTTATGGTCTTTCATCATTGTGTTTTCTGGGAACAAGTAGCACACGCTGACCTTTTTGTATTCTATTTGGGAACAAGACCTGTATTCAATCAGAATGACCAAGCCTGACCAAGTCTGACATTTTAGTTTAACCATTCATCCAAATCTGAATTAAGAGACCCATATGTGTGAATGCAAAGACACATCTGCATGCTATTGGGTGAGCAAATTTGTATATCTGTGTATCAAACAGGCATATAATGAAAGTCACAAACATTAGGTAAAAAAGCTATACCAATGCACTGTGACCTTTTTGGTGGATATAATGTCCTTAGTAATCTAAGACTTTGAAGAGAGTCACTCTCAAGTTGGCAGAAGGAGGTCAGAAAGAAGCTACTACACATTCTATAGTGACATGCTCCCCAAAGGAGAGTGAAAACGCTTCAGAAAGATAAGTTGAGTACTATGAATTCTCTTCATATGGAATGTAGTGTGCATCTGAACCTCTTCTTTACAAGTGCTCCCAATTTCTCCCAGCTGTTTCATACCTGCTACTGTCTCATTCTAAGCCTCACTCCAGGGTTTTGATTACTGACATTCATAAGGTTAACTCATTTGTATAAATAGCTTGATGTCTCATGACAACCTACTGTGTTCAAGATATGAGTATGCAATATTTTGGCAACTATTCCTGATGCTGAGTTTTACTTTTACATTCTTTAAGTAGTGGTGCTCTTTTTGTTAAGTAAGAAAAAAAACGACCCGCAAACCTCTTTATGAACTATACAAAGTAACCAATTCTGTCAAGGTAATCTCATAAGCAAACAGAAAATGATGTCCGAAATGATATAATTCAGTGTGACTCAAAAAACCTTCTGCCTTAAAACAGCTGTTTTTTTTTTTTTTTTACATTTTCAGTTTGTTTTGGGGTGTGTGTGTGTGTTTATGTGTGTGTGTGCACGTATGTGCAAAAATGCTCAAATTAGTCATGATTTAGTGTGAAACGTTTCTTTCATGTGGTTCTCTTTTAAAACAGAAAGCTTTAAGAGAGAGTGAAATAGTAAGCTCTTGATATTCTACAGTCAATAAACTTATGAGGTATTTTTCTCATCTGAGGAAAATGAAATTGAAATATTGAGTTTAGAGACACCAAAGACAGTTTTTGTTAATTTTCAAAAGTTTAAAATAACAAAACTTTGGAATTGGAAAGAATGAACCCATACTTAATAGTCTTAATTTGTATTTGTGGGCGTTTGATATATCTTGAGGATACCATTAAGAGTAGGAAATAGTCTTTTCACATATTGAGGTGGGTTAAGTGGAGTCCTCATCACTTAATTGTAAGAAGTATATTAATTTAATAGATGCAAAGTCAATAGCACTCAAACTACCATTTAAGTCAACTCACCCTTTATTCTTATATCCTGCACTTGATACTCAATAAGTTGAATCAAAGATGATTTTCAAAGTGAGTTGACAGTGGTCAGATTTCTTTTATAATTGGGTGCCAAGACGATTATGCACACATCACATTTACAGAGGCCTTCTTCTCAAGTAGTAATTTCTATAACACTGGTTAGAAAAAAGTAGACAAGATGTGATTTTTGAGTACAGGTTCTCAAAAAAAATGTGCAAAGCTGGAATGTAATTGTAGGCTGTATTATTAACTCAAAGGCTGGCATCATTTCAGCATAAAAAAATAACAGTTATGGGAATGAGGACCCCCTTTTTTTAATCATGAAAGAGCTTGTGTATGGATATTATGAGGGATTTTCCCGAGCCTTATTCTTAAACAGATTACACTATTCAAAGTCTCAAAGAATCAAAATCGTGCTCAGCTGGGGCAGTCAATGTGCAGTCTAAACATGTGACAGATGCAGAGAAAACTTCAAAGATGCCATTACAAATGCCTGTGGAGATATTTAAGGAGCCAGATGCTACTGTTTCATGTCTTCCGCAGCTCTGAATGTGTCCTGTGATCACCTTCCAAAGAGGAGGTGTGGTTCAATATGGTGAGGAACAGAATGCCACCTAATCTTTTTGTTGTTATTGTTTGCATACATTGTATGGTTGGGATGTGAGGGTTTGGGATTAATGATGCTAACAGGGAGGATATGTATATGAATTTACTGTTCCTTATAAAAACATGAAGGCACAACTGCAGCGAAATATGTATATGATATATTCTGTGAGAGCTCTCCTGTCTAAAAAAACATGATTTATAGGTGTGTATTGCCATGGAAGCACTTTTTTTCTTTAACTTTCACCATTTATTTAGACACTAAAAGAGGTAATAAATATATTCATTATGGTTGGTGTTTTATTTCCAATTTTGTTTTGATGTTGAAAAATAAATTACTTGAGACAACATATTATTAAGTACATGTTTCATTTTCATCACTATTGCATTCTGGAGAAGAACTTAAATAATATTTTGAGATAGAATGAAGCCCCAGGTAAATATAAAAGTGGTGAGATTTAACAAAAATTCTACAAAACACCACCTTCCTTTATTTTATATGGGTTCTTTATTTTTAAAGTTTTCTTCTCCATAATAGACTATGGGAGAGAGTTTATTCTATTTCAACTTTAAAAAATACAATTTCATAGGCTTATTATTCCAAATAGAATAAAGGGAAAATAAGGACAACTTCTAGGAAAGATAGAATATAGCAAATAAAACAAACCAAAACATTTGAGTCACTATGTAATGTTGAGCATATTTTTTACATTGCAAAGTGATTCTGTCCAAATTTATTCTTTTTAATTACATGTATGATTTATCCTAGCCTATCTTCTGTTAGATCAAACCTATGGAGAGATTATTTTATTAATTTCTGAATTGAAATTTGTGGCTTATTATAAAAAACTTATATACATAATTGTCTACATGTAAAGGGATGGCCATAAGTGGAAAATAAATAGCAAAGGATATTTTTCTTTCTAATGTAAACATCTGGCAGTAATCCTTGCTTACACAATTAATGGGCATTTAATTGGCAATGATCAGTTTATTGCTGCAATATGAAGTGAATGTTTCCCCAGGAACAAACAGCTGTTGCAAGAATTTCAGTGATTTAGCAAACACCAGGTGATAGCTGTATCTAGAATGAAGTGCTCTGTCTCTCAGCAAATCACAGTGCACTGGAAAAGAAAAGAAAAAACAAAACTAGGTTAAAAGTAGCATAGCTGGAGAGACTGATTGTCATTGACATTAAAATCTATCCAAAGACCAAACTTAATAAAACAACAGATTAATTACATTAGATGGTATTCAGGTATTCGTGCCTCAAATAAAAAGAAAGAAAGAATTTCTCTAAGAAGCTAATACTAAGTTGGCATGACATTCATCTATTTAAAAGTAGTATTTTATGTCTTATTTTAGAGATATAACAGTTGATGAGATGTGTTTTTGTATTCTAATATTTTATCGTTTTATAAGTCTTAGAAAATTTGATAGTCATGATTCTAATTTTTTGATTAAAAAGTTATTGAAGTCATTCAATGGTTACTGACAATTGTATTTGTCTTAATAGATTTTATTCAACTGTCTCAAATTAAATGTACCACTTTTTAATTTGCATTGCTTGTGCGCTGCTTTCCCATTAAGTTTTAAATAAAAAGTTTTTCATTTTTCATTATGCACTCTTATTACTAATTTAATAAAATGATAATAGCTATGCAAACTTTCTGTTACTACTCAGCTTTTGGCATAGATTAAATTATACATTTTAAATGCAGCACACTGGCAGACACTGTGATTTCATAAAGCTGAGTTTCATTAGTGAAGAAAGTAATTTTGCTTTAGCAAAAAAAATGCTTTTATTTACTATGCTATTTAGTATTAGCTCATGCTAGAGTCTATGAACAATGAACTCAAATGAACAAAGCATCAAGGGCCAATTTACAGAACAATGCTTTTATTTTTTCATGCATGCATTCTGCAATAATTCATCTCCATGACAAAAGCAGACAATCAATCATCTTCTATTGTGCCTTTCTCAATAAAATTACCATTCTTGATGTAACAAAAGAAAGCTGCCTAAGTAACAGGAACAGTTTTACATGCTCAAATCAATAAATTGACCATACTTCAAAAAACCTTTACCCATTAATATGACAATGCAGTTTTATGTTTAACTTATCCGTATTAGTATTAAATTTTTGTTAAGTTCCATTGTTCCTTTTTTTTCATTCAAGAAAATGAAAAATTTAAGAAAGTATTTTAAAGGAATGCTTCCAATTGTTTCAGGGACAAAACTTTCTGGCCTGAGAGTATTGAAATACTATCATCTTGTAATTTTATGTAAGTTGAAATATGTCACATTTAGCAAATGAAATTCCTGTATGTGTAACTCTTAAAATCATATGGCATCTATATACTACTACAAAATGTGTTGTGAAATCATGTAAAAATAGCAGATTTAAGTTGATCTTGTAATACATGGTATGGTTCCTAAAGTAAGATGTTTATATTGTAGAGTATGTTAAACGAAACAACTTGTCCACATATTTCAAAAAGTGTAATATGTAAATATGATGTAAAGAAAACTTAAGTTCAAAGGTTAAGTACAAATTTCCACAGCAGGAAAATCATGAGGAAATGTTATAGATATAGCTACATACCCATTGTGAATAACTACCTATTTTATTTTCAACTAGAATGGTCCCATAAAAAAGCAAAGACTTTAGAAATTTACTAGCTAATGTAGAGTACAATACAGAGATATGTATTTTGCTTTCATATGATTTATGAATGCAACACTATTTTTGGTCTAAAGTCTTAAAGAAATCCAATGGAATTACAACAAAATTCTTAGATTAAAATATGAATAGTTCCAAATAACCTACCAAAGCAACAGGATTAATTTGAGCTAATAACACTCATGCCATTAACCACTCCAAAATTCATAGCACTTTAGAACCTCTGAAGACTTTCTATAATTGTATTTTTTTTTAATTTTTTAGTTAATGAGGCCAGGCCATAACATGTTTCAAGAAAACGAAATCCTTTGCTACAGAAATGCAAATGCAGTGGCTTAGTATCTAAAATACTATAGAGTATAAATGACTGAGAATAGTTTTATTGCAGTTCATAGGCCATTACAATATTCATAGTTCACAGTAGTTTATACATCAATTATCTAATTAAATTCTGAATATTATCTGCTCATAATATTAGTGGTTTCTGAATTTACAGTATCTTCATGGATTAATTCACCATGTCACAAGAATGGCATTCTAAATTTGAGAGTAAAAAATAAATTACTGTATATTTTGTCAGATTTTTTAACCACTAGCAATTAATTTGAAAAATTGCAATAAAAAGTACTCCTATAATGGAAAGTTTAAAGTAAGCATTGAAAATTTTACTACACTCTATTGTAAATTAAATGTGTTAAAGAAAATATTGGGTCATAATAGACTTGAAAGCTTTTTTTTAATCTTGTTTTCTTTTCCCTATGAATCTGTTAATTCATGTTTATTGAGTTCCAGGTTAGTGGGATGTAATGAGTTATCTACTGAGAGAGATTTATTATTAACAGTCAGCTCTTATGAAAAATATTTTTTATTTACGTGTTATTCTAACTCAATTCAAAGGAACTTATTTCAGGGAATACCGGAAAGTCATTTTATGTTGGATACTTCATTTTTGTCTTAACGATCCTTAGCTATAGTTGCTGAAGAAAGGAAAAGCAGAAGATATAATTCAACAAGAAAACATAATGTTGTTTGTCATACCATGACAACCATATTGCTGAATTTTCTTGAACTGTAACTTAGCTTCATAGAGACTTTATGCCAGGGATCAAGATTTGATTTTTTTTCCACATGTAGAAACTTTACAGCTCTACCAGTCAATTGCTTTCTCTAGTAGCCATCTCAGACTCTTTCCCACACTCCCATATCCTCTCTCCCTTTCTCTTTCTTTCCTTTCCCCTCCTCCTTCCCTAATGCTGCCAGATCAACTAAAGTGTAATGAACAACGTACCTAGGATTTCCTTACAACCTTCACTTTGAAGGCAGAATGGAGGGCCCCTGAAACTCCCATCAAGTGCCATTTCATTAGCCCTGGGACTTTGTTTAAATTACGTAGCCATTACTACTGTCTGTGAAAGCCCTTGGTTTCTTTCTTTTATGGATTGTAATATTTATTTCTAACACACCTTTCAACAGCAAAGCTGAAGAAATAAAGTCACCTATGCTGGAAGGTATATAAACCAAGAGGATTCTATCAAAATTTGAAGTGTTTTTGTTTTGTTTTGTTTTGTTTTTTTGCCCCACTTTAACAGCCTTATTCAGATCAGTAGAGTGCTTCTTATTTTGGGCTGTACTTTCACTGAATCTTAATCCTGGCTAATCTGTCCTTGTTAGTAAGATATTGGTTTGAAATTACAGTTTTTGAAAAAATTTTGGCAGATAATACAAGTTAAAATCATAATTATTAGAGAAAAATCCAGGCTGACCTTTTTGACCAATCAACTTGCACCTTGAGATTAGTGTACTGTAGAGCCTCTCACACTTTAGTGAGCATCAGATTCACCTGGAGGGCTTATTAAAACACAGTTCACTAGCCCCCACTCCAAGAGTTTCTAATTCAGCAGAAGAGTGGGTGGCAGAGAATTTGCCTTTCTAACAAATTCCTATGGTGTGCTGATACTGCTGGTCTGGAGACAAGAGTTTGAGAACCACTGTTGTGTTAGTCGATCTAAAAGATATTTTACATCTTACATTTGTGAACCCTAAAATCTAGTGAATATATCACATCATGTTGGGGTTTCTAAAAAAAACATGACTTAATAGTTTGCCAAAGACTACATTATTTTGTATAATATGAACAGCATGCTTAATGTTTTTGACTCAGGCAGTTTGTGCCTTCAGGCTGATGTCACCAAATCCTAAACTTATTCTGCAAAGCTGGGTATTTTTACCAGATGTTGCTTTTGGAGATTAAAATTATTTATAAACCATAGTTGTCAAAGTTCTGATTAAAGACAAATTTCTTTTTACACTTGTACTTCAACAAAGTCAAGATTTGTAATGCCTTGACTCGTACTTTTCTTTCTTATAATTAAATCTTCCTGCCTCTACCTGCTTTGCTACCCAGTGGAGAATGTGCATCATATCACTTCAATCACTCTCTTGCCAATTATCTCCTTTCTGATTTCTGTTAGCTCTTCAAAAATCTAACTCTAAATACTTTCAATTATCTCTCTTTCCCTAAACTATACACAGTCTGCTGAGTGCTGATGAAAAGAAAATCACACTGCATAACCACCACAAATCTATGACCTCCAATCTCAACTGGGTCCATCTTGCTATCTCTAGCAGCCCTTTCTTCAGTTGCTTTTTTTTTTTTAACCTGCTGTACCTATTCTAAAACTTATCTTTCAAATTTACTAGGCAACCACAATATTCATCACTCTGCGAATATCTGCTTTACAGAGAAAGTGCTAGAAATTAAATAAAACACTCTCTATCGTCATATTCACCCTTACCTCCAACAAGAAGAAAGAGAAAGTTCTCATTCTTAAAGCAAATCCATTTTCAGTGTTTTGGATGTACCTCTTCATAAGACCTCATTTCCTTGATTATTCCCCATTCCAACCATATATTTCTTTTTCTCTCCACTTTCTTAATATCAGCATTAAAACCATAGTTAAATTTCTTCCAGTTTTTCCATGTTTCTTTTTTCTAGAGACCCACCTTCTCATCCTTTCCCTGGCACACTTATTAAAGGATTTGCCTCGTCTCATCCTCACCACTTCTAATCTATTTAGATTAGCCACTTCTCAGCTCATGGCTAACAACTCTCTTCTAGAAATATCTTCTTTCCTTACCTTCTCCTACATTTTGACTGCTTTTTTTCACTCTATCTATTCTTCAGATACTGTTCTATTTGCTGGTTTCCCAAAGCAGGGTGATCTCAACACCCAGTCTTTGTTATATTTTCAAATATAGCTTCCAGCCTGCTTTACTCCTTGAATACAAACCGGTGTATCCAACTACCAACTGGAGATCTTTCCTAGAAGTCCCACACTCTCTCCAAATTAAACTTATCATCTTGTTCCCTAAAACATGCTTCTTATCATGTGGGTTTTTAATTCCATGAAAATGTAGGATAACACAGTATATAATATTTTACTTGGAGCCAACAGGTCATAGAGTGCCACACTGCCACTACGTGAGTTGGTATAAGTCACACCACTACATCTCTGTTTCTTCTCTGTAATATTAGAATAACAAAATACACAAAAATATTTATATTTTGTTTTACATAAATTATTTTTTCAGATACTTTAATGTTACTGCTTTATAAAAATGGTGCTTGACTTGCTTAAAAAAAGCTAACATATATTCAAGACATAGACACAGTTAGGCTTGTGGCTAAGCAAAACTAGAGATAACAGGAGCAGCAAAAATAAGAACCATAAGGAGAACTTAATAGAATTGAGCTATTAATTTTAGGGAAGGAGGGAAAGCCATAACTTAATGGCCTATGTGACATGATTGGATCAACAATAGTAATGATTTATCTTATCCAGTGACTATTGAACAGAAAAGTGTGGACCAGATAAAGAGAGATTATGATTATATATTAATACATATTTTCTGACAGTGAGAATTATTAAACATTGTAATGAGTTGCTTTGGAGGTCTCTAAGAATTGGATAGATTTTCACTAGTCCTGCAAGATCCTGACACGTGAAATTGCATAGGGATATAGTAAGTACTCCTGAGGCACCTTCATAATTCTATGACAGCTCTGAAAATTTGCTTGAAGATATTTGAAACATGAAATTTAGATTAATATTCCTGGAAACATTCTGAAGGTTTAATTCAGTCTGAAAATTAACAATTAGTCATCTAACTCACAAAATGGCTTTTGTATCTTTTACTTTTTCCCCTGTCCAATTAATCTTACAATCTATGTTTCAGATGAAAGATTCAAACATATGACTGTGATCAGATTGGCCCCATACTCAAAGACATTCACACATTTCTTGGTCTAGATCTTTACATCCTTGATCTGATCCCCAAATAACATTCTAGCCCAATCTCCACCTCCATTTCTTCATGAATCATAAGTGTAGACAACTCTCATCCCACTTATTGACAAACTGGCTCTATACTTTTTCTTCCTCCTTTTCTCCTATCTGTGTGTATGCCTATTGCCTAACTGTGCACATGCTATTCCCACCATATGCAGTGCTCTTTTCATTTCTATCTATAACAATTTCACTCACTGTTCACATCCTGTGAAGTTTTCCTTTCTCATCAGATGCAGGCCCACTATGCAGCTATCATTTGTTTGTACCTTTATCTCTACTTCTAGATTATAAATTCCACAAAGCCAGAATCTCTTTCCTATGAATCATTATATTCTCTGTGGCGTACTGGCTGCTTTTACATAGTACACAGTTTCTGCAAATTTGTCTAACTATAAGAATCACAATTAAGGATGCAGATTCCTGGGCTCAGCCTGGCTACTGAATTAGGATCCTTAAGAGTGGTGGTAGGGAATCTCATCAGAAGGAAAGTTTGGAAATAACAAACACTCAAGTACTTAGTGAAAGAGTGTTAAATGAATGAACACATTCCTTTTTGTTTCTTTGGAGTTTCCTATTCAAGAACATTTACTCGAGTGTATTTTTCTTTGGCTTTTCTGCCTTTCTTGTCCCTCACATCTCCACTGAAACACTCTAGTTAGAAGGGTGTTAAACTCAGCAAAAATTACTTTCATTAGACAATTAATAAATAATATTTGGAGCAACCTTGTAACTCTTACAAACAACGAGTAGTTTTGAACAATATTTTCATCTGGTAAGAACGAGTTTAAAGTAATGGGGTAGGCACAGTGAGAAGACTACAATGGTGTGTCTCTAGATGTTTTTAAGTCACTAGGTCAATTTCAGCTGGATGGACTTCTTCACAGGCAGTTTAGAACTAAGGGAAAAGCCTGAACCAAAAGACCACTCATCCTTGTTTTATAAAAAACTTGGTTATGTGACCTTTGGAAAGTTCCTTAATTTCACAGAGCTCAATTTATTCATATGTAAAATGAGGGGGTTGGAGTAGGTGATCTCTAAGGTCTCTTTCAGCTCTAAATTCCATGATTCTCTGATTCTTGTTTTAGCTGAGAATTTCATTTGTCTATGTGATTTCTTTCTTGCCTCTGAAATTATAATTGAGGGTTGATTATACGTATCCAGCGCAATTATCCATAGATCATAAAGATTTTTATTATTATATGTGGGAGATTAAGATGTATGAAGGGCATAAGAATGAAATTTCTACAAAGTGTAATGATAAAAATAGTGTTTTATATTATAAATTTTCTTCTTTAGAATATGATAGTGGCCCTTTATTAAAAAATTAAGATCAATACTTAATATTTAGTGTTTCCATTCTTAAACTAATAAGAGACCTGAATTTAAAATATTTATGTATTTAACATACTTTCATATAAATTTATGTTACATCATTATTAAAAGCACTGAGCCATGGCAAATGATCTATTACATCATGATTTACTGTCCTGTATTATCTTACTTGATGAATTATAGCATGTCATGTTTTGATACATATAATTTTTAAGATAATTAGAGATACAAAGCCAAAAATGCATTACTTTTGAGCATATAATTTAAATAGCTGATGGCACCATATGAGAAATACAAAAAGTAAGACATTTTATAAATTATTCACATTATATCTGTTTTTCTACTCTTATATTTTAGTATTATATCAGCCATGTTCTTGGAAATATAATCCCGTTTTTCCAAAGTACTAAAGTATTTTGCCTACTAGCCTACTCAACTTTTATTATCAGCATAAACAATCTGCCCAATGAATCAACAAAGATAGTTCTTAGTTGAATCGTAGAAAAAAAAGTAACTTTGACAGAAAAATTATCTACACTTTTAATCTGATTAATAACATAATTCATATGATGTTAACTATAAATTTGAATGAAGTAGGAATACTGTAATTTGCCACAATTAAAAGGTTATCTGAAACCCTTACAATTTCTTAAATGCCAAATATTTATCATTTAGATACATTTTGGATGCAAATATAGACATTTTCCATACTGAGTTAACTTTTCTTAATGAAATGATTATAATGTAACAATATTGCTATTGAGTTGGTTCTGGGTATCCGGCAGAGCTAAATTCTGTTTCTGTCTACCCAATTTTCTAGCTTTATGGGCTAGCTAGACAACTACTTAAACTCCTGAAACTCACTTTTTCATATGTAAAATGGGGTTAATAATCCTCTACCTCTTAGTAATGCTGTAATATATGAAACTACACATTAACTTTCCCTAACAAATTGCTTGACTACCGAAAAGTTCTCAATAAATATTAGCTGTTTGCTTTAGGCTTGTGCAATACTTCTTATTTACTAACTGATTTTGAAAAGCTTATCTTTTCTTCTTCTTTTCATTCGAGTTTTGAGACATTCAATATGTACAAGGTTTTTTTTTTTGAAAAGTCCAGATTCATCTGATTAAATCCTTCATCAGTTTAGAGATTATGCATCCTCTCAGACCAGTGTTTTCATGATTGCATTGGCTTGGAGAATGTAAAACTATTTAGTCACTTCTCTACAGAAGTTTTTCTGTATGCTTATATTTTCAAGAGCCTCCATAGTTTAATAGAACTTAGAAAGACAAAACACTAATGGAAATATGAAAAAACTCAGTTTATTATCATATAACAAAAGTTATTATGACAGTTTATTTGAGTTATCTGTGTTGAATTTTTTTAAATTTTGAATTAAATGAGAAAACTTGTCCATGTATCCTCTTTTTTGGCCTGCATATGTTTTGAATACAAGGTAGTAGTATAGATTTTTAAATATGTGTGCTGGATATCTTTCTTCCATTTGCTTCTCCAAATACTCCATCCTTCACCTTTCTCTGTGCCCTAAGAAGTGTT
The DNA here is from genome assembly GCF_000001405.40 of Homo sapiens. Taxonomy (NCBI): domain Eukaryota; kingdom Metazoa; phylum Chordata; class Mammalia; order Primates; family Hominidae; genus Homo; species Homo sapiens. The sequence goes on from NC_000005.10 coordinate 91,986,667, forward strand.
TCCGAATGGATTATAACAATAGGGTTCTTGGACCTCTAGCTTCCTGTTGGGTTTATCATGTGGAATTCAACAGGGATGGGAGGGAAGAAAGAGAGGTTGGGGTTTATTCCTCCACATCCCTCTCTGCAGGTTTGTTTGAGGCTGGCTGCATCTCTCCATCACAAGTTACAGCTCATGCCAGATGGCTCTGCCACTCAGGCCTCTCCCTGTCTCACCTGGTTCTGGAAAATGCTGTCTCCCCTGCCCTTTCAGGCCAAGGGATAGGAGTGATAATGATACTTTTATATTTTTCTAGCCCCTAACCTAGTACTAACTCTGTGGTTTGTTTACATTCTTCCCACACTTTTATAATACTCACTTATGTTTATAATGTATTTTTATTATTATTTGAATTGTAATTCCTTTGAGAACAAAAATTTGTTACATTTTAATTCACCTCATTTTGTAATCATAGGGTTGTGGCTGTATAAGGATAGAAATAATGGGTAGGTTAGATAACAGTGCTGGAATTGAGGCTTTGAGTTGGGTAAGGTGTAAAGATATGTGCTGGTCAAGGGCCAAGGGATTTCAGGAGGATGTGGAGGGAACCTGGAAGTTTCCAGGGTTTCGCTGACAAAGACACTGGATTCTACAGGATTCTGCTGTCTCCCCAGTACACTGTAGCAGCTACAGAAGGAATACAGATAGGGAGAGAAAGTAGAGTTTTTTTTAATGTATTTTTTTTGTATATACTGCATGGTGTATAAGCTGATGACTTTGCTATGTTGGTGAGCTCAGCTTAACACCTTTCATGAGAGTACTCTTAGATAAAATGGAGTCAAAGTATAAATAAAAGATCAACATTGGTGTTTTACTAAGATATTTCAGAGATATCTATTTCTTGGGAATGAAAAAAATTGAGTTATATACAATCGAATAGTCTTCAAATATATATATATTTCAATATATATGTGTGTGTATTCATATATATATATATACACACACACACACACATACATATGTCATAGTCAATCTTATAGAGGAAATAGCTTCTAAAAATATCTATTGATATCCACATACAAAAATAAAGTGTAGACACAGACCTTACATTTTTCACAAAAATTAACTCAAAATATAATACAGACCTAAATGTAAAATGCAAAAATATAAAACTTCTACAACGTAACATATGTGATAACCTAGATGACTTTGGGGTTGATGATGTGACATCAAAGTGATGATCCATGAAAGAAAGATTTGGTAAGCTGGACTTTCTTAAAATTAAAAACTTCTGCTCTGTGAAAAATATTGTCAAGAAAATAGAAAGAGAAGCTACAGACTGGGAGAAAATATTTTTAAAAGACATATCCAATAAAGGACTATTATCTAAAATCTACGAAGAGCTCTTAAAACTCAAAGATAAAAAAGCAAACAGCCTAATTAAAAAATCTGTCAAAGACCTTAACAGACATCTTGCCTAAGAAGATACACAGAGGACAAATAAGCGTATGAAAAGATGTTCCATATCATATGTTATCAGAGAAATGCAAATTAAAACAACAATTGCATACCACTGCCCACCTATTAGAATGACAGACCCAAATGCTGGAAACGATGTGGGGCAACAGAACTCTCACTCATTGCTGGTGAAAATGCAAAATAGTACAATGACATTGAGAAAAAGTTTGGCAGTTTCTCACAAAATTGAATATACTCTTATCATATGATCCAGTAATTGTGCTCCTTGGTATTTACCCAAAGGAGTTGAAAATGTATGTCCATGCAAAAAACCAGCCCATGGGTGTTTAAAGCAGCTTTACTTATGATTGCCAAAACTTAGAAGCAACCAAAATGTCTTCCAGTTGGTAAATAGATAAAGAAGCTGGTACATCCAGATAATGGAATATTATTTGGTGTTAAAAAGAAATTAGGTAACCATCTACAAAAAGATATGGAGGAAATATAAATGCATATTCCTAAATGAAAGAAGCCAATATGAAAAGGCTACATACTGTATGATTTCAACAATATGACTGCTATTGATTGAATATGCTCCCCAAAGTTCACGTGTTGGAGACTTAATCCCCAATGCAACTGTGTTGGAAGGTGGGGCCTAATAAGAGGTGATTAGGCATAAAGGCTCTTCCTGCATAAATGGATTAATGTGATTATCAAAGGAGTGGGTCTGTTATAAAAGCAAATTCAGCCTCTCTTGCCCTCTTGCTCTTGCCCTTTCTTACCCTCTGCTTTTGTTACTAGATGATGATGAAACAGCATGACGGCATTTGCCAGATGCTGGCATCATGATCTTTGACTTTCTAGACTAGAGAATGATGATCCAAATGAATCTCTGTTCATTATAAATTACCCAGTATCAAGTATTCTATTACAGCAGCAGATAATGAAAAAAGACAATGACATGTTAGAAAAGGCAAAAGTATGGAGGCAGTAAAAAGATCAGTGGTTGCTAGATAGCAGTGAAAAGTGAGGGATGAATAGAGTGACTAGAGGAACACAGAGATTTACAGAGCCGTGAAACTATTCTGTATGACACCATAACGGTAGATGCATGTTATCATGCATTTGTCAAAACCCATTGGATGTACAAGACCAAGAGTGAATGCTAATGTAAACTACGGATTTTGGGTGATAATGTCAATGATAGTGTCAATGCAGATTTCATCAGCTATAACAAATGTACCACTCTGGTTAAGTTTCATCAACTATAACAAATGTACCACTCTGGTGAATGGCGAACAAAGGCACCATTATCTGTTGATAATGGGGGAAGTTGTGCATGTATGAGGGCAGGGGTTATATGGGAAATCTCTGAAACTTCCTTTGAATTTTGCTGTAAACCTACTCTAAAAAGAATAAAGTCTTTTTAAAGGTCTATGAAATCAATATAGAGTGTTTTTTAAGTTTGCTACTATATTCAACATCATTAATTAGTAGATGTGTTTTTGCCTAGAGTTTCACCAACTGTATGTTTTCTCAAGAATGTGAATATTTTGTAATGATTGCCTTTTGCAAGGTATTGCATCCACATAATTTCTAGGGCATCTATATTGCTTACTTATTAACAATCTACAGAATTGCAAAATTGGATCAGTGAAGAACTGAAGGTAGTCGGTAAGTCCAATTGTAATCCTTAAAACTGTTTAATCCCTAAAGGTACATTTGTATAAAAAAGCTGGAGATGAGATTATAATCACATCATATATATTGATTTATCTATAACCTACAAATTTGATTGAACATAACTCTATTCCTTAATTCCAAATATATTTTGTGAGTCAAGGAAATAGAGCTGGGAGAACATTTACTTTATCACACAATCTTTTCCATGAAGATCCTTCACCTTAGATTTCTAAGCACTAGGGTTTGAATTCAAGGAAACTTTTAGGTTATATTTTGGATAATTATGAAAAAGTTAAGTAATATAAGAATCCTCTGAAAATATCTGATTAGAGTCAAACATTTAGGTTAGTGTGTCCTCATGAGAAGAGGAATCCTACAATTTACCATCATTTTACAGGAGAGCTTTGTAATGCACATGCGATTACTTTATGTTACAGTTTTAGAAGAAAAAAACTAAGGCAGAAGAAGGGCAAGCATATGTAAATTGTATTATCCACTGCATTTAGGAGATTGTATGTAATCTTGACAGCTAGAGAGACGTAATTAGTTTTGTTGTCCTCAAAAGATGAAGAGGATTGAAAACTCTCTATATGCTGTTAAGTGACCTATTAAAGCCACACTTATCATTACTATAGATTTTTTTTAGGGGGGACGGGCTTCTAGCTCATTTGAAGCTGGCTCTTTACTAATAGAAAAATTCAGATATTAACTGTTGAATTACATTTTGCCAAGTGACTATACTTTCAAGGGTAGAGGTTTCATTTTGTTAGGATGTTAGTTTACCTGGTATGGTTCAGCTTTTATGTAGGAAATAAAAATATATGCCATTAAATCTTGAAGGAAAGGCACACAAGAATAATTATGATTGACCAATTGTTAATATAACTTACATTACATTTGAGTGAAACCTTCAAATGATATATAGAGAGGGTGCTACAAGGGAACTTACACAGAAGTTGACTATGGTGATAATATAAAAATATTTGATATAGTATAGGCACACAGAAATCTCCTACTGAAAATCCAAAAATAGTTTTATACGAAGAAGAATACATGTAAAAATTATTTAACTATTTTTCTTTATACAGATTCCCAGAGAGGTTTAATATTCAAGAATGTTCTTCTTTTTTATTTTCATGCAGATGTAACATAATTTGCTAAGTGTCTTAAATCTGTAACATGATTACCTTCCTTTATTCTATGGGAAGTCCCTGCAGCAAGTTTTAACTACAACATTGGCTCAAAATATTGTAACTCATATGCTACTTAGCTCTGAAAAATACATGTTCATCCTCTGTTGAACAAGGAACATGAAATACCTTCCTGTTTGTGGGCTTTGTTCTACAAATGTTAATGCACACTTGAAATTGATTTGATGAGTTTTACCTTTATTTTAAAACTCCAGTGCTAAATTCCCATATTACATTTTCAGGCCTATGGCATCTAGGATCAGCTTTGGGCCAAAATATTATTTTATTTCCTATTTCATTAGTTTTTTTTCTGGCCAACCTAATATACCACCCATGTTTCTCAAAATAACCAAAATAAGCTGAAAAACTGGATGGCAAGTGAAAGCGAAGACAACTTAGTCTTCTCAGAATCTCACAGAAACTAATTTATTTTCCAAATACTTACTAAGTAAGCATTTACTATACAACAGACATTTTGGGGGTTTCTCACCAACACTTCATTGAACAAAAATGGAAAAGACCCCTGTCCTCATCGCCATTACATTATAATAAGAAGGAGGTTAAGACATATTTTAAAAAGTAAAATTAAAATAGTGGTTTTCCAGGCTATGGAAAAGGACGAAGCAGGAAAGAAAACATATGAAGTATCAGCTGTAAGGTGATCAGGAAAGGACTGAATGAAAAGGTGACATTTGAGCTAAGACCTAAAGATGGAGAGAAGCAATCCTTCAGGCAGAAGAGAGGGTGAATGACCCCATTTAGGGAACACCTGGTAATTGGAGGAAGAGCAAGAAGACCAGAGGGGCTGGAGCAAAAAGAGTGAGAAAAACAGCAGAAGGGGTAGAACCAACCAGAAGTTGAATCTTGTCAGTTATGGTAAGCTTGTGTAAAATCAATGCTTTTATTCAGAGGGAGACAGATAGGAAGTCTGATTTATATTATTATCTGATGTATATTATTAAAGGATGATTCTGGTTGCTGGTTTGGGAAAAGATGATAGGCTATATGAGATGGTCAGTTAAGAGTCTTTTGGCAATAAGTCAGGCTAGAGATGAGGGTGAGTGGATCAGGCTGGAGATAACGGAGGTGGTGAGAAATGATTGGAAGGGAGATGATGTAGAAGTTTAATCTATGGATTGTAGAGATTCAAAAGTGCAAGCTCATTAGGAAGGCCTAACATGCCATAACTTAAAGGTGGTGGAATCTGTAAGAGTATTTTTAAAAATTCAGAAACAGGAAAACTTCTGTGAGTAGAAATTCCCTTTTCACATGGATATATAATAAACATTCATATAGTATTGTTATATAATATGTCAGTGGTTCTGTTACAGATTGCTTGACTGAAATTAAAATAAGAGAAAAATATTTATCTAAATTGAAGAAGCTAAAGAATTAGCTGAGGATTACAATAGGTTAATAGTTTAGGACTTCATTGTCAAATGGTTGGTAGAATGCTTAATTGAAATTCTATAACTAAAAATAGAGTATGTTCATAAAATTCAAAGGAGGAAAAGTGTATTGACATTGGCTTTGGCAAATGGATGGCCAAAAGATCAATATTTGACTAGTTGAGAGAATAATACTTATCAATGAAAAGAGAATTACATGCAAAATCCTAGTGAGAGAAGGAAGAGAGGGAGAGAAGAGGCAATTAATTTTTGTTGAATGTTTACTATATTCTAGAAACTGTGCTGTGAGTTTTTCTTACATTACCTCATTTAAACCTCAGAATACTCCAGAAAATGAAATTAAGAGGAAAGCCATTAGGAAACTACTTAGCATGGAAGGTAAAGCAACAAGGAGACCTGGAAAAGCAACCAGTTCTATGCATGCAAGAAATTTAATGATGGGTGAGGAATGGAAAGACAGAATTAATGTTTTTATAATGAAGTTACTGAAGAATTTTAAGTAGTGTTGTGACTACCATATTTGCATATGGTCATGTTGGTAGCAGTGTGGAGGCTAGGATTACAGAAAGCTAAGGCTGGAACAACAAAAAAGGACTAATTAGGAGGAAGCCGAATCAGTAAATGTAAAAAATTAGTATGACCTGAAGTAAGGGAAGTAACTAAGAAGATGCTAAGAATGGACTAGATTCAAGAAATATTAAGAAATTTAAAACAAGAGAATTTGGTGATTATGTGGCAAGATTAGATGTGAGATTTGAATGAAGAGAGACAGATTAAGAAAAATTGTATACTTTTTGAATTTGTGACCAGGAAAAGGATATTTCTGTTTGAAGAGAGGAGAAAGAAAAAAAGAAAGAAAGAAAGAAAGAGAAAGATAGAAAGAAAGAAAAGGGAGAAAAGAGAGAGGAAGGAAGGAAGGAGGGAAGGGAGAGAAAACAGTATAAATTTGGGCTTCCATAAAAAAAAATGTTGGTTTTAAAGTTTCCTTTGGCCATCAAAATGTACACATAGCTTTAATATAGAGTTAAAAAGGTAGGTCTAAATGAGACAGAGATTTGGGACCAATCCCCTTAGAAGCCTTAGACATAGATGCTATCATGGGACTTGATGAAAATGAGTAGAGTAGGACAAAGTAAAGGACAACAGCCAGAGAAAAGGGGGAAGAAAAAGTCATCCATAAAAGAAACTATGAAGGAACCCTGGAATGTTCATGGGGAGAAAGAAGAGAGCAGCATAGAAGCCCAGGGGAAACTGTTTGAAACGAAAAGGAGGAGTTAACACATAAAAATGAAAGACAGTAGTCAGTGAAGGTAAGAGCATGCTTGTAACATTCAGCAGCAGGATATTCTTATGATCTTGATAGGAACATATTAGACCAATGACTGGGACAAACATCCAATGGAAGTAGTTCAAGGAATGTATTAAGAGTTGAGGAAATAGAGGGAAGAAAGGTAAAGCATGTTATTACTTATACTACCCATAATAATGACCCTCAAAGATATCCACATCCTAATTTCCAGCATCTGTATGTTACTTAACATTGCAGATGTGATTAAATTAAGAATATTTTGATGGAGAAAGTATTCTGAATTATGTGGGTGGATTAAATATGATTTCAAGGTTTTTATATAGGAAAGGGGAAGGTAGAAGAGTCAGGGAAGGTATAAAAGTCAGCGAAGGAGATGTGATAATGGAAGCAGAGATCAGAGGGATACAATAACTGGCTTTGAAGAAAGAAAGGGACCATGAGTCAAAGAATGCAGGAAGCCACCTGAAAGCTGAGTAAAGCAAGGAGATGAATCCCTAGAGCCTCCAGAAGAAAGACAATTCTCCTGATACCTTGATTTTAGCCAAGTTAAAACCCATTTTGGAATTCTGACCTCCAGAATTTTAAGATTATTTATTTATTTATTTTACTTTAAGTTCTGGGATACATGTGCTGAACATGCAGGTTTATTACATAGGTATACATGTGCCATGGTGGTTTGCCGCACCTATCAACCTGTCATCTAGGTTTTAAGCTCTGCATGCCTTAAGTATTTAATTTATATTAATTTTAGCCACTGTTTTAGTCCATTGTGTGCTTCTATAACAAAATGCCTGAGGCTGGATAATTTATGGAGAACAGAAATTTATTCTCTCACAGTTACAGAAGCTGAGAAGCCCAAGATCAGGTCATCTTCTTGCTGCGTCCTTACATGGTGGCAGGAGGAAGGGCTGAAAAGGATTGAATTCTGTGTTGTCACGTGGTAGAAGAGCAGAAGCAAGAGGGCTCACTCCCGTAAGACATTTTTAGGCCAGCATTAATCCATTACCTAAACACTTCCCATTATGCCCTATTTTCCAACATTGTTGCATTGGGGATTAAATCTCCAATACATAAATTTTGAGGAGCATATTCAGACCATAGCAATAACTAAGTTTGTGGTAATTTGTTATATAAACAATAAGAAATTAATATGTTACTTTTTTTTTTTTGAGATGGAGTCTTGCTCTGTTGTCCAGGCTGTAGTGCAGTGGTGCAATCGCAGCTCACTGCAACCTACGTCTCCCAGGTTCAAGGGATTCTCCTGCCTCAGCCTCCCAGGTAGCTGGGACTACAGGCGTGTGCCATCATGCCCGGCTAATTTTTTGTATTTTTAGTAGAGAAGGGGTTTCACCGTATTAGCAAGGATGGTCTCGATCTCCTGACCTCGAGATCTGCCTGCCTCAGCCTCCCAAAGTGCTGGGATTACAGGCATGAGTCACCGCGCCTGGCCAAGAAATTAATATGTTACTTTTGTCTATAGAAGGGGAGAATGGGAGAGATAGGAAGACAGATGAGAGCACAGAAAATACACACAGAGACACACATGAGTGTGTGTATAATGTGTATGTATGTATGTGTGTGCATAATAGATATGTGCATGTGTTTGTGTATATATATATACACACACACAAATGCACTCATAACATAGATATAAATGTTTACACAATATGTATATGTGCGTATGCATGTGTATTCATACATATATATGTATTTGTGTACATGTGTATGGTTAAATATGTGTGTGCTTGTGTATATATTATTTATTACATATTATATATTATATATTTTTATATATTGTATATTGTATATATATAAAATCATCATCATCACGGATCCTTCAGACTTCCCCATGACAATTGGATGGTAGATTGGAATCTATTTATTGGGATGTTTTAATTATATGCAATTATGTAAACAGTAACCACTCTATTATGATGATTTTACTCAGTTCTTGTCATACACATTTGTCAAGGACTAAAGAAGCAGAGTTGTCAGGTATACTGTTGGGCAATTTTATATTTCTGTACTTGTAACATTTGTATGCTCTCCTCTACAGACATTTCATTTTATATATGCAAATCCCTTCCCCATGTCATTTTTGTGTATTTAAAAGAAATCTCTGCTCAGAGTGTCATTATAATAGTGTGGTCCAGTTGTTTCTTAAAAAACTGATAGAAAATAAATTCCTGCAATATAATGAGGAGCCACGACACTATCAAAACTATCAAACGAAAATCATTTTCACTTGCTATTGGTTTTCATAATAATCCTTGACTAATTCCATTGCAGAAACATCAGAGTGGCAAAATGTAAAACTTCTCAATGTATTTCAAAATGACATAATACCTTAGGAGAATTGACTTAGTTTAAAGAGAAGTTCAAGTGTTTGCAATAAAAGTAATCAATTAAAGGTGGTTCGATATTAATAATGAAACAGAATTCTATTCTCCTACCCACTTATTAATTCAGACTTTTCTTATTGTTACATATTACTAACCATCATTATAATTTGTAAATATTTTAAATCGAGTGAAATAAGGTTTGCCTTTGTACTATATACTATGCTAATCCTATATATACCTTCTTCCTCAGACTATTTCACTAATCTAAAGATTAGTAAATTATATACTCTAACCTCACAAATACAAATTAAATTTAGTTTAAAAGATTAAAATACAGACTTTAAGAGATAAAGTTAACTAGGTTTTTGGCATGTAACTGCTGTGTTTAGAGTTGCCCAAATTGACATGAAGTATATTCAAAACAGTTTCCTGTAACATGTTTAGATAATTCTATTTTCTAGTTAAACAATATTTTTCCCTCTAAGCAACACTTTCCTCTGTGATTTCTTTTGTCTGTGCAATTGCCTATGGTGATCCTTTTATGTGCAATTCTCTCTCCTCCCATCTTTCTCTGTCTCAAAGCCCAACTCTAAGTTGACTGTTTTTTTTTAAATTTTTTTTTTTACCTTTTTCTTGTTTTAAGGAAAATAAAATTCACCACTTTCTTTTGGAATCTAACATTATAGCTCTTCATTAATTGATTGTTCATTCCCTACTACGAAGCATAAGATTATAGATGGAAGGAATTATTCATCTTCTGATCTGTCGCATCTATGGTCCCCATAGTGTGGGCTTTCAACACAGTAGAAAATCTGTAATGATTAAGTGAAGAATGAGGTTTTATTGTCCTCCTTTATTAGGTTACTCTATTTTTTAAAAAAATAGATTGTTAGTTATCTTCAAAGAATTGTTGTAATGGTCTCCTCTCTTGATTAATAAATAACCTTTAGTCTTTTTAATAGTAACATTGCTTTTAAAAATAAACTCTTCTTGAGAAATGTCTAAACATGGAGAAAATGGGTTTAAAATTCTAGCTAAATTTTACCTAAAAATACTCAGATATGTTTTCTAATGAATCAATTCATGATCATGATTCACCATTTATTTTATATATATATTTCACATTTCAGTAGAATTATTGGTATTGTCATAATTAATTTCATTTATTCTTAAAGTCTGCATTTTATATAAACTATAAAATAATGCTACTATTATGTTTTCATTTAGATCTCATATTCTTGATAAAATATAATAATAAGCTTCTTTGGTAATCAATATGAGTCATGCCTTCTATATTAACTTATTAAATCTTTACACTTACTTTATGGAGTACATACAATTATGATCTACATATAATAAATGAAGAAAGACATGTTTGAAGAGTTTGAGTAACGTGATTAAGATGACAAAACTGGTTAACAGCAGAGCAGAGATTTGAACCCATGAAACGTGTCTCTTAGCCACTAAACCTCAGTGCTTCCATACCCACTTAATAGTCTTCTTTGATTTTTGGTAGGAGATTCACACCACTTTAAAAAAATATCTTCATGAGCCCCTTCTCACGGCTTGAATCATGTATATAATTTTTCATATGTTATTTTTTCAAATCTTGTTTCACAAGATTTTGAATGCATTGATGTCAGGGGCAGTGTCTTTATCATCCCTTTATCTTACTGCAACTAAGTTGCATTCATGAACTTTAATTTTTTCCTCCATCAAATGGAAATGATAATGCCCATATTCAAGGTTAATGACGGTGCCAATTAAGGTAAAGAATGTAAAATAACTGACATATTTCCTAAAACATAATCATTGCTCAATGAATATTAGTTCTATTTTTCCTTTAATCACCTCTAATTTAGTATTTGAGAAATAGTGTTTATCTGTGTAGAAAAATGACCGTAAGAACACATCCTTCTAATTTGTGAAAATATTTTAACCAAAATGGCCTGTGTTTGATATGTAATCAATTGTTGAATGCATTTCCTATATCTTTCTCATATGGCAACACTAGAACTGTTCCTATCTACACTGATCATCTACATTTTTCATTTACTGATTACAAATCTGTGGGACTCAAACACAAATTAGGGATAATGGTAGATGGGCTATCGTGTGTACATATGTGTGTATGTTTACATGTACATATATGTGTTTATATTTCTAGTCTTAAAAGACACTGTGTGTAGGATTAATTATGGACTAAGGTAAAATATCTAAATTGGAAATTTTGTTAGTCATAATTCAATATATTGATCATAAATCTCAGTTTCAGGGCGCTGCTAGTGTTTCATGAAACGTAGAATGTGAATTACAAAAGTTCTTATCCCTGCAAGTTTTTACAATTCAGAATTAAATAAAGTAAAACATTGCTACTGAAGAATTTCCCAAATTATGGATGACCTTTCTTCTTCTTTGAAACACATATAATATTAATGCTTGCATGAAATACCTATTCGCCCTCCATGAAACAGTTTGGAAAATGTTGGTTTGAAGTGAGACAATTTAAGATGTTAAACCAATGTTTCCAAAGATACGCATGATATGTTAAAAGCTGTTACTTGAAAAACTGAGTTACATAGTCAGGTAAGTGTAGAAACTCAGTTAACTAATTTTTCTCTTATTGCAAGAATCCTTGGAAATTTTAATGTGTTAAATATGTCTGTTATTAGTATTTCAATATGTTAAAATCTCTAAGAGGATACTAGTATATGTAGCACAATCCAGAATAATTTGACTACTAATTGCTTTTCTATAAGAATCCATGCCAACATTTCATGAAACACTGTCACGAAAATTCTGTCTTGGAAATTTTGTACTAGATCACTGGTTCTCAGAGTATAGTTCCCTGACCAGTAGTATCAGCATCACGTGGGAACTTGTCAGAATGCAAATTTTCAGGCCCCATCTCAGACCCAAAGGATCAGAAACTCTGGGGGTGGGGCCCAGGAATCTGTGGTTTAACAAGCCCTCTAGGCCATTCTGATAAATGCTATGGTCTGAAAGCCACTATGTTAGAGATGTGTAAGATTGAGCACAATAATTAGTACAAATAGTTTTAACGGGACTGAAATTAGAAATGTCATTTACAAAATAATAATATGTTAAAGGTTTTGTTATTACAGATTAAGCTGTGTGCCAACAAAATTCGTATGTTGAATTCCTAACCCCTAGGACCTTGTAATGTGATTATATTTGGAGATAGTCTCCTTAAATTAAGCTAAAAATAGGGCATGTCAGTGGGCCTTAATTCACTATGACTGGTGTATTTTAAGAAGAGGATATTTAGTATACAGTGTACGCACCCAGAGGAAAGGCCATTTGGGGATGTAGAATGAAAGCAGCCATCTGCAAGCCAAGGAGAAGCCTCAGAAGAAACCAAACCTCAGAACCCTTGATGTTGGATTTTTATCTCCTAAAACTGTGAGAAAATAATTTTCTAAAGCCACTCAGTCTAAGGTATTTGTTATGGCAGCCCTAGCAAACTAATGCAGGTGTATACATAAATCACTGAACTCTACGATTTAGAGTCAAATCTATTCAAGGTGCGTCTTTCCTACTATAAAGTACTATGTTTACTCTGAAACGTATTCACATAAAAACTCACAAATGCTGTAACGCTTTGGAGTCAATTATACAAAGCATTATTGCAATTGTTTAATTATATCCTGGGCTGTATCAGCCATAAGAGTCAAAGGAAAATTTAGAGCAGCGTTAGGAGCTGTTGGCTTGTGAATGCGGTTAGCCTTTTATTTTTTTCTTTCATTTCGTCTAATTTTAAGATAAAAGCTTATTTCCATGCCACTCATCCTCTTGCTTTGTCTGCTTTTCCAAGTTACAGTAGTAGTATTTGGTATTGTGTTCAGAAAAGAAAGAGTACATTAGAAAACACCTTATTTATTTGGTGAAAAAATTCATTGCTTTTGTCAATTATTAATTTAAAGTACACTAAAATGTACTTTGCCTGATTTAATAAATATTTATTCCTCATACCATTAATAGATTTAATACCATTATAAATTTATGTGATGTCTGTGTATTGAGTGGATAAGGCCTTAGGTGGATAGAGTTAATTCTTTCTATATGGCTGCTTGTTATGAGACTTCCTCTGACATATATCTCATAATGGTTCCTGTTGATTGATCTAATTATATACACATGGTTTTATTGGAGCTTTGTGAATCTGGAGATACCCATGTTTGCTTAATGTTCTACAAGCACAATTCAAAACCCTTTAGGCTTACCAGGATTGCTTCCATAATCCTTAATTGAGAAAAGTAAGCCTCGAGAATTTTGAAATACCCAGCCTAAATCAAGCTCCTGGGCCAGCATATTTTCCCTTTAGAATATTTCTTTTGTAAAGAAAAAATTGTATTTTTTAATACACATGATCTATTTTTTATATGAGTGTCACTTTGTAATTAAATGAAATACATTTATTTCTGTGAGTATGCGTAAAAATGTTCTTGCTTTTTGGTCCTTGGTTTTTATATTTGAGGAATGAATATTTTGAAAAAAGAATATGTAAAATAATATTACATCATAGTATGCAGTGAATAGCAGAGGAAAAAGCAATATTTCAATGCAAGGCTAACAATTCTTAAATTACTACATTTTATGTATGAAGACAAAAAATTCTGTTATTTTAATAACTAATTTCATTAAACACTTGAATAGTAGATATGAATCCGTTAATCTGTTGTTTTTATTGGACTTCATAATACATTAAGAATATTATCCTGATGCTTAAAACTTGCAATTGTGTCTCATCTGTGATTTATCCTTTCTTTCTGCAGATTTAGCTATTTTTACCTCTTTTTTCTTTGTATTGCTTGAAGAACAGTTCTGACAACAAAGATTACTCTGTTTTTTTATCTACTCTAGTGTTTTGGGGTTTTGAACATCATTTTTTAACAAAGCTTTAGCTCACTGAAAGCCCAAGACAAACCTAAAGTTTTGAAACTCACTTTCACAGATCTAGTAAATTTTTCTTGACTGAATTATTTTATTTAATACACAAAATCTTGTGAAACATAAAACAGCAGAACTAGAGTAGAGCCAGGTGAAGCCTTTCCCATCAACCCTCTCTTCCCCAGAAATAGACATGTGGACTCAAGGAGTGGCTCTACTGGAGCTGAATAATTGGGGATTTGGGGAAAAGGAAGTGTCACTGCCTGAATGGGAAAGATAATAAGAAATGAAGACTTGCTAAAAAATGGAGAGCCTTGTAAGCAATAATCACATTCTTTAAGAAGTCTAAGTAGTTGCTTTTCTATTACTTACCTTGATTGGAGAAAAGAGTTGTCTAATAAACTTTGGAAATCTGAAGTGGGTCAATTAACCCCTAAAGGAAGGTAAACGGGTTCATTTGAAGTTTCAGATCAATGGATGCTGAAGGTTGCAGTATAACTTTAAGGAATTATTTTAAAAGTTTCTTTCTTTATGGAAAGACATTTTGATCAATGAATTGAAAGCTGAAAGAGCTTTATGGTCCAGAAAGGGTCAAAAATCAAAAATGAGATGAGAACATTTAAGTGGGACTCCCAGTGTCAAAATGCATATGTACTCATTTCAGAATGTCTCCTTCTAAAAAATACCTTATGATTGATTCAGACTTTTTTATTTACAGTGCCTGCAGACATTTAGTGAGCCTTTATTGTTAGGCACTCCATTAAGCCCTTTTAAAATTAATCCTCTTAAGAAACTTATGAGGGTAGAAACTATCTTTATCTTCATTTTACAGATGTGAAAACTGAGGCATAAAGAGGTTAAGTAACTTGCTGATGGCAGAAGGCAGGAGTCAATCCCAGGCATTTTGATTGCATTCTTATCTCTAAGCAGTATTGCCTAATTGTGAAATAACTGTTGAAAGCTTGAACATCACAAAACTAGGACATCTTTTCTTTTTTATTATCAAAAACCTCACCACACCAAACCAAAAACATTAAGAAATTGGCAGTCTCTGTTTACAAATGAAAAACAAGAAAAGATCAGTTTCTGTTTGGATCTTCAGATTTTGCTCTATCTACTAGTTCCCTCTTAACCATTTAGAATATATTAATACAATCAAATTGAGATTCAAGAAATAACCAATATTTTTTTTTCAATATACTTCCTATACTTCCTAATTCATGTAACATAGGTTAAAACACATTTTCTTTTTTTTCTTTCAAAACCTTTTTAACTGGACAATGCTTTTAAGTTTCTTTGCTGTTTGTAATTTTTTCTTTCCTTAGTGTTTTCCAAGAGAATAACTATTAGTCTTTAAATCTGTTAATGATGGTCCTTTGAAGATTTAGGCAGTGATTCTGTTTTTGCCTAAGTGTATCTGTTCTGCCCAAGGAGATATGGGAGAGAAAACTTGAAACAGCAGATATGTAGTTCTGCTTTAAATCTGGATTAACAGTAGTGTCTTGAAAACATTGGTTAAGTTAACAATATGAAAATGTAGTATGCAGCTGTAGTTAGTGAGTTTGCTTTCTTATGTGCATAATATGAGCTTGTAATGGAAGTAATGTCATATAGTATTTAACTCTGACATTTAGTGTTTGCCCTAGTAGATGGTCTTCCTTTTACTTAAGTGCCATTACTTTTATGTAGTCCATTTTCATTGCATTTAGTCCCATTTTAGTAATAATGCTTGCATGATTTACCAGGCAAATGCAATCTTTGCCCTGAATGGCACAGTGCAAGAAAAAATGGAAGCTGTTAAGAGGCTGAATGGCAAAAAAGTATTATTGACCTATGCTGGCAGTCATGTGTTTCAATTATTTTCAAGAATCCATTTGTCAAATAAGTGAAGCGATGTGGGACGTCAAGTTCAAGCTCGGGTTAGTGCCTTTCTACATCTGATATGATGTATCTTCTGTAGCCATTTAATTGAATTACCCAATTTATTTTTCAAGCAACAATGCTCTACCAAGAGCCATGACATTAAACAATTAAATATGAGTTTAAAAGTCTGCATTTTGTGTAGTTCATCATTCCTCTGCAGCAGAGGGTGAGCCCAAGGGCCTGAAGATTTCTGATTCTGGTGTAGTAAAAGCTTACATTCCAGGGGAACAACCTCACTATCCCATGTGGAAACATTTAAAAAATAACAACACTTCATTATTCTTATTTCTTTCAGCAGAACAGTGATGTAAACATTTAGAATTTAACTTTGATTACTCAATAATTTCTTGAGATTCTGTTTGGAAAAGCAAACTGCGCTGGGATAGCTGTAACTAATGCTCAATGAGTTTGATCAATAATGCTTTTTTTATTTGAAGTAGCTGGCTTTTGTGAATACAAAAGAGAAGTCCTAATGAAGTAAAGATATCAGACTTTCAAAAAATTATGAAGGGAAAATGCAGTTAAGAAATACTTATATTTACAAATCACTAAAACATTTTGGGCCATTATCACCTACAAAAATTCTTGAAACTTTTACAGAAAAACAAGTTAATCAACCATAATTCTTCTATTTGTAGAGAGGAAGGAAGGATTGCATGGAGGTAAATAGAGAGAGAGAAAGGGAGAAAAAATTCAAATCAAATGTGTGCTGACTTTAAATGAGATCAGTGTTGTAGAAATATTTTTAATTTTAATTTATATTTACTTGGATATTAATTCTATGATAAGTTTTTAGAGCATTTATTAGTTGTTTTCTTTTGTTGCTAACTTAGACATACAGATATGTTTTTGATCTGAGGAGAATAATTACTGTAACTCAGAGAACAGAAGCAACTTATATTTTTTTCAATTAACATTCAACAATTAAATTTTAATATGGTCAGGGAATTGTTCAGATCCTTTTGTATAGGGATACTGCACCTTTAATTATCTGCCCTCTGGTGCCAAGCCTTTTCTTTGAGTGCTTCCATAAAAGCTTATTGCAGCTAGTTATTGAGCAAATTAGTACTTGAGTTTTGGTGAAAAATGTCTTTATTAGTCCTAAAACCGGAGTCACTGTGCATTCCCAGAAGGCGTGATTTTGTTTGATGAATAAATCTAGTAATTATCCTGCTGTTAGGGCTGTACCACAAATGTCATAAGCAGATAAACAGAGGGAGTAAGCCTTCCGTAAATTCTCTAATTATCTATGTTGGACTACTTATCGCCTGCAGATGATTTATGAGCGTATTGATATATCCTTAAGTATGTTCATTTGAGTTCACAGATGCAAATAATTAAGGCACTAGTCATTTGCAAAGGAGGCTTCAGGTCAGGGTCATTTCATTATAAAACTTCAGCCTGGCTTATACTATAAAACAAGATATAAGTATAATCTACTTGACCAGGATATTTCCAAAGAGACTTTTCTTTCCTTTATCTTTTTTTATAGATTTTATTATTCTTACCCATTATTTTCATTAAATAAGACTCTTTCTACTTCTTTGTGTAATCTATTTTTTATTTTTAAAAATATTAATTGTCCAGTTTTTAATTTAAACTGCTTGGTAAAATGATCACTAGGAAATACCAGAAATTCTTTAAGACATTTAAAATGGCATTTTAAAATTTCTAAAACATATTCTTGGAACTCAGGTGCTTTATCTTTTTTCCTCTTAGACTACTTCATTTGAGGTAACTGATGACTTTCTTAAACAGAATATTTTACAAAATGTTTCATTTTTGTATTTATTTTGTAATTGACTAAGAAATCAAAATGTATTAATGCTTTCAAAATAATATGCTGTCCTTTAAAAATGAAAGCTAATATACCAGTATATGATTGAAAAAAAGAGTTACTTTGAAAAATTGAATATGAGCATTTAATAAAAGTATTTTATAAAAATTCTCTAACCTTCAATTATAAGCAGTTTAAGAAGATGAATGGTCCTAAAATATGTATCTTGGTACTTTTTCAGCTGTGGTGTTTGGGAGAAAACCTACCAATTAAAGGAGGGTATAGACACTGTAGTATATTTTACAAATTGCACAAAAAATTAAGCAAGCAGAGGCTCTGTGTAAGGGACAAATCTGTTTCCGACCAAATCCTTATTAAGGTGAAGTCTAGCTACATGATTTTTGAAAAGGAATACTGATAGTGTTCTCAAGAGGTTTGTTTCACTTTTGGGTCAATGTGTTTCCCAAGGTTTGATAAGGGCAAATTAATTGTAAATTAAGGCGCGCGTGTGTGTGTATACATACACACATGTGTAAACATACATATACACACACACATATGTGTAAACAAAACAGGATCAATCCAATAGTCTCAAATTAAGAGGTACAGTGGCTCAAAGCCCTAGAATAAATCCACTCTACATGGAGCCCTTTATGAAATTGATCTGCCTCTTGATATTAAAGGCAAATTATTGGTAGAATTGTTACCAGATTAAACACAAAGCAGAACAAAAATGAGCCAGGGTTGGGAGGGCACAGGTTCAATTGCTGAAAGTGTTACTTGGGATTTGTGAATGAATAGAAACCATTCAAATTAATTTATTTTTATTATTATACCAGAATTTCATAAATAAAGGGGCATTTGTGTTTAATGTATCAAGGTGGTATTTCACGAAGGCTCATAACACAGGGATTTTTCCTCTGAGGTGCCCTTTTTGCATTTTTTTTTGCCATTCCCCTTACATATCTCCAGATATCTCCCACGTCCTATTTCATTCTGCTCTACACAGATGGCATGTAATAGGGATCACATTCAGGTGCTTGGGATTCAATGTATCAGATTTGATATTCCTTCTGTTTCATCATACACTAAAGCATTTGAATATTATAAAGTCTATTAAAAAGAAAAATTCAGTCAGCCTTTATTTTAGCTTGTCAACAAAGATACTCTGAATGCCAATCCACTTCCGGAAATTATCTTATCATTAATTCAGAATTGCAAAAATACAGCTTATCATACAAATAGTTTATCAGTAGTAAGTCATAAAAACTAGGTCTTAGAATAAGAGCCTGCAAAAATAATCACTTTTCACATTTCTAGCAGTCCTATGTAAAACTTGACATTTCTATAACTTTGAAAATGACTTCTTGGCAAATTGTTTTTGCAGATTTCCCTAAATGAGGTAAATATGCCCTTAACAATAGTTTGATATTATCGGAAAAAGCATACTTTTTCATAAATAGAATACAGATTTATAAACTAGGTCCCAAAAGTCAGTACTTTAACGAGTAGACTTTTTTTACTCAAAATGTTATTTCAGCATATATGAAAATATATTCCTAGAAAAAAATACTTAGAAACAATTTAAAATTTCATGTTTTTCTTTTCAGGCAGATTAAGTGATTTATCCAAGATCATGTAGCTAGAAAAAAATTAGAATGTAGATCTCTGACTTCCAGTCCACTTTCCTGTACAGCATTGAGTTTAGTGTACTTCCATTCTTTAGACCTCAATAAACATACTTTCTACTCAGACCCATCATTCTCTTCACATTTATTAAATAACTCTGGGAATTGTATAAATATTCTTATCTTATTAAGAGTTACCATTTCCAGAGCATTTTGGTATTTATTGATTCCAAATACTCCACCAAAGTAGTAAGAATAGACTTTCCCTCAATTATACAAACAATTTTTTTCTATTTTATGTTTCAAAATATGAGCATGAAACACAGTAAAAAGAGATCAACAAATGTGGGTTAAGCAAATTTTTGCATTAGTTAAACAAACACACACACACAATTTTGCTTTAACAAATGCATTCATTTTTTTCATGGCTACTTTCTTTCATAGACTCTCGTTCTTATATATGCTACCGTAAGCAGAATGTCCAGGACATGGCTGACATATTACAGTAAAGAAGGAAAATGAAGCTACTATTTAAAAATTATTTTCTTCTGAGTCAAAGTATATTTTATGTTATATGCTTACATACATGCAAGTGTGTTATATACCTGTTATATACCCAATACATATGTATATGTTTATATGCACACACACACACACTAGAACAATTTTTCATTTAATGTTGGTGCTTGAAACTGAGAATGCAGACAGAAACAGGTAAACAGCACTCTTTCTATGCAGCATTTAATCACTGTCAACAGCACGTTTTTGTGAGTAGTAAATTTACTTACAGATTAAGCACAGTGAAGAAAAAGAATATTATGCTGGAATTTGAATAACAATATATCACCTGACTGGTTGTCATGCATAAAACAGAATCAGGAGATTCTATTGGCCCTGTGATAGGACTATTAACTGACCTACAAGAATAAAAGCACAAACGTAGACATCTAATTCCTTTGCTCCTTGCCCAAGTGAACATTTTTCAAAAGAGCTAACCAGTTAGAATCATTGATTTTCCACTCTGCTATTCTAATATTCTCACCAAGATACTAGCTTATTTCTATTAGCATGACTCCATTAAATCTTATCATCTAACAAAGAGGTAACATGCTTGGTAAAGAAGTAAATAGAAGTTCAGGAATACCACAAATCATAACTTGCCATTTCTGTAGTTATCTAATTTGTTATGTCTGACAAAATGATCTTAGAACTTTCATGTTAGACATAGAATATTTTTCTGAACCTATTTTGTTTCTTTCCTTACCACTGAAGACTTTTCTTTCCTTTTCCTATCAGTGGACATTTTACATAATCTAGTTGAACAGTTGTTTGTGTGTGTTTTATTTGTTTGAAATAAAATTATTACCTTAAATTTGTCTTTGATGATTCAAAAAAATGAAAACAAAAGCAAAACCCCAATCCAGCTCATCAGAACTTGGGGACTTGTGCTTCCTGTTTATATCTCCTCTGTGGTTGTAGAGTTTTAATTTCCTACCACACTATTGATTGAAAAATCATACAATGTGGTACATTTACATACTAAAGAAAATGTGTTGATTGGTTTACAAAGTTGAATCTTTTAAACTGTTAGGCACATTCTTCACACTCTCTCTAGTTCTTAGTAATTTGTTTTTTGTTAGTGTTTTGTTTCATTTGCTTCTGCTTCCTCCTCCAGAACTATGAAAAGTAAGAAGTGCCAAAATTTAGAAGGAGTTAAAAATTGAATAAACTATGAATAGTTTTTATTCTTTTTAGATGACACATCTTTGCTTACTTAACAATGGGAAAAACAGGTATTTTTTTTTAAAGCTTGCTAGTGTTTGTAATCTCTTACCCTTAAAAATAGCCATTTAGCATCAAATGAAACATCAATAATAAATATTTGAATTGGTCAATAGATGAGATGTGTTTTGGATTTTCGCAAGTTGAATTATTTCAACTCATGTACTTTGGATTCTATGGGTTGGCCGTATCCTGTGTGTATGTGCTGTTTTCAGCTTAACCAGAGGAAGCAGTGACATCCATGAATAGCCTATTTCCATGTCCCTCTGTGTAAGCTACACTAATCAAAGAAATTCACTTACCCACCAAAAACTACAGCTAAAAGATGTTAAGAATATGTTGTCCAAGTGATAATTTCAGTGGAAAATCTGTGAAAATCATGTACGATTTCTTCTGATATGTTGCACAAAATTTGAAGGGCAAGTAGAAGGTCTTAAAAAACAGATAACATTTGGAGACATTACAGACGTGTCTTTCTCTCCACCTTTTTATCAAAATTATTCTCATTTTTTGGCCAATAGTCACCAATCTCAATTTCATGGAGGAAGATTGTTAAGTAGGATATTATATTTTGTCATTTAATGTAATGGCATAAAAATCAGAATAGGGAGTCCAGAAATAAAACCACACATATATAGGTAACTGATTTTTAAGGCGTGCTAAGAATGTATAAGAAGACAGGAATAGCCTTTAACAAATGATTCTGGGAAAACTGGATATCCACTTGGAAATGAATGAAATAAAATTAGACCATTATCTTATACCATACACAAAAATCAACTCAAAAGTGGATTAGAGATTTACACGTAAAACATAAAACTGTAAAATGTCTAGAAGAAAACATAGGGGAAAACATTATGGCACTGGTCTTTGTGATGATTTCTTAGGTACAACTCCAAGCAACGAAAACAAAAATAGACAAGTTAAATTAGCCGGGTGTGGTGACAGGCACCTGTAGTCCCAGCTACTCGGGAGGCTGAGGCAGGAGAATTGCGTGAACGAACCTGGGAGGCGGAGCTTGCAGTGAGCCGAGATCGTGCCACTGTACTCCAGCCTGGGCAACAGAGCGAGACTCCTACTCGGAAAAAAAAAAAAAAAATAGACAAGTTGAAACCACATCAAACTAAAAACTTCTCAAAAAAAAAAAAAAAACCGACAGACAAAAAGACAACCTATAATGAATATTTACAAACTATATATCTAATAAAAGGTTAGTTTCCAAAATATATAAGAAATAGCAATAACTCAATAGCAAAAAAAAAAACCAATTAAAAATGGACAAAGGGCTTGAATGACATTTCTCCAAAACAGACATACAAATGGCCAGCAGGCATATGAAAAGATGCTAAACATCAATAATCTGATAATCAGAGAAATGCAAATCAAAACCACAGAGAGCTCTCACCTCACACCTGTAAGGATGGCCACTATTTAAAAAAAGAAAAGAAAAGAAAAGAAAAGAACAGCTATTGGCAGGAATGCAGAGAAATTGGAACCTTCATGTACTGCTGGTGGGAATGTAAAAGGGTGTAGCCACTATGGAAAACAATTATGGAGGTTCTTCGAAAAATTAAAAATAGAACTATCATATGATCTGGCAATCCTACTTCTGGTTATTTATTCAAAAGAATTAAAATCAGGATCTCAAAGAGCTAATTGCACTTCTGTGTTCATTGTAGCATTATTTACAATAGCCAAGATATGGAAACAACCTAAATTCCCACCAAAAGAAAAATAAAGACAATGTGGCATATGCTTACAGTGGAATATTATTCAGCTTCAAAAAAGAAGGAAATCCGGCAATATGTGACAATAGGGATGAATCTGGAGGATATTATGCTAAGTGAAATAAACGTTACTGAAGGATGCATGCTACATGACTATACATATGAGGTATCCAAAATAGTCAAATACAGAAACAGAGAGTAGAATACTGGTTGTCAGCGGCTTGAGGGGATAGGGAAAATGGAGATTTGCTATTCACTGTGTATAAAGTTTGAGTTTTGCAAGATGAAAAAGTTCTAGAGATCTGCTGCATAACACTGTGCCTATGGTTAACAATACGGTATTGTGCACTTGAAAATGTGTTAGCATGCTAGACCCCATGTGAAATATTTCTACCATAATAGAAAAATAATTAAAAATTTTTCTTCTGCATGAAGTAATAAATAAAGTAACTTGGCACAAACCATTTTGGTGAATTGTACCATGGAAGATTATGTATTAAATTCCAGCTAAAATAGAAGTAAAAGAAGGCAAATAATTTTGATAGGCATAGATAGAGGCTATATGTACCTGGGAAAGCATGCTAATGACGTTTACTGGTGCCCTTTTCTGCTAGAGATCTGTACACAGAGGGTAAAATATTCTGAAACTGAGAAGTCTTGACTGTTGATATTCACTCCCTTGAAGACATTTTAAATAAGCACCTTCTGTTTAAAACATCTTTTATTTCATATATTATTTCACAGGATCTTGAAGTATACATAAATGGCAGATTGGTGAAAATAACTAAATAGACTGACTTATTAATGAAAGTACAATTTTCATCATAGGAAAGTAATTTTTAAACTTTCTAACTATAGTCAGAAATTTGACATAATTTTAGATTTATACTATTATAAATGGTATGGCACACATTGCATTATTGTACATGTATTCCTGATCTGTTACTTTATTTTTTGTTGATTTTTTCATAAATAACTTATAAATATTTATATTCCAATACAAAATACTCTAATATGATATTTTAAAGATGTAAATCTAAGTGTAATTGCAGTCAGGTCTGAACTTCTTTCTAAATAGACTAGCAACTTCTCTTTGTGAAACACAGGGACTGCTTGTTATTTTTATTATCAGATACTACCTGCAACTCCATCACTAAAGAATCACTGTCTAAGTTAAAATACTGCTCCCTATAGGTGTCTCATTAAATTATAATCAATTGGTGTTCTGTTAGTAAAAGCCAATTAATATGGTTTGGCTGTGTCCCCACCCAAAATCTCATCTTCAATTATAATCCCCATAATCACCAAATGTCAAGGGTGGGACCAAAGGTGGAGGTAATAGGATCATGGAGTGGTTTCCCTCATACTGTTCTGGTGATGGTGAGTGAGTCTTATGAGATCCGATGGGTTTATAAGCATCTGCATTTCCCCTCCTTACACTTCACCTTCTTGCCGCCCTGTGAAAGTGCCTTTCTTCCCCTTCGTCCTCTGCCATGATTTTAAGTTTCCTGAGGCTTTCCCAGCTGTGTGGAACTGTCAGTCAATTAAACCTGTTATCTTTATAAATTACCCAGTCTTGGCTATTTCTTCACAGCATCACGAGAATGGACTAACACAGTAAATTGGCACTGGGAGTGGGGTGCTGTTGTAAAGATACCTGAAAACACGGAAGTGACTTTAGAACTGGGTAATGGGCAGACGTTGGGACAGTTTGGAGGACTCTGAAGAAGACAAGAATGATGTGGGAAAGTTTGGAACTTCCTAGAGACTTTTTGAATGGCTTTGACAATAATGCTGATAATATGAGCAATGAAGTCCAGGCTGAGGTAGTCTTAGATGGAGATGAGGAACTTCTTGGGAACTAGAATAAACATCACTCTTGCTATGCTTTAGCAAAGAGACTGGCAGCATTTTGCCCCTGTCCTAGAGATCTGTGGAACTTTGAACTTGAGAGAGATGATTTAGGGTATCTGGTGGAAGAAATTTCAAAGTGGCAAAGGGTTCAAGAGGAAGCAGAACATAAAAGTTTGTAAAACTTGCAGCCTGTCAATGGAATAGAAAAGAAAAACCAATTTTCTGAAGAGAAATTCAAGCTGGCTGCAGAAATTTGCATAAATAGCGAGGAACCAAATGTTAATCACTAAGACAATGGGGAAAATGTCTCCAGGACATGTCAGAGACCTTCACAGCAGTTCCTCCCATCACAGGCCCAGAGGCCTAGGAGGGAAAAATGGTTTCCTGGGCCAGGGCCAGGGCCCTCCTGCTGTGTGCAGCCTAGGGACTTGGTGCCCTGTGTCCCAGCTGCTTCACCTCCAGTCATGGCTAAAAGGCACCAAGGTACAGCTTGGGCCATTGCTTTAGAGGGTGAAAGCCCCAAATTCCACATGGTGTTGAGTTTGTGGTTGCACAGAAGCCAAGAATTGAAGTTTGGGAACCTGTGTCTAGATTTCAGAGGATGTATGGAAATGCCTGGACGTCCAGACCGAAGTTTGCTGCAGGGGTGGAGCCATCATCGAGAACCTCTGCTAGCACAGTGCAGAAGGGAAATGTGGGGTTGGACACCCCGCCTCCCCCCCCCACACACAGAATCCTCACTGGGGCACTGTGTAATGAAGCTGTGAGAAGAGGGCTACCATCCTTCAGACCCGAGAATGGTAGATCTACCTACAGCTTGCACCGTGCACCTGGAAAAGCCACAGGCACTCAATGCCAGCTCATGAAAGCAGCTGGGTGGGGATCTGTACCCTGAAAAGCCATAGGGACAGAGTGACCCAAGGCTGTGGGAGCCCACCTCTTGCATCAGCATGTTGTGGATGTGAGACAAGGAGTCAAAGGAGATCATTTTGGAACTTTAAGTTTTAATGACTGCCTTATTGGATTTCAAACTTGCATGGGGCCTGTAGCCTCTTTATGTAGGCCAATTTCTCTTACTTGTAATGGGTGTAGTTACCCAACACTTCTACCCCCATTGTATCAAGGAAGCAACTAACTTGCTTTTAATGTTACAGGTTCAGAGGCAGAAGAGTCTTGCCTTGTCTCAGATGAGACATTGGGCTGTGGACTTTTGAGTTAATGCTGGAAAGAGTTAAGACTTTGGGAGACTGTTGGAAAGGCACGAGTGTGTTTTGAAATGTGAGGACATGAGATTTGGGAGGGGCTGGAGTGGAATGATATGGTTTGGCTGTGTCCCTGCACAAAAATCTCATCTTGAATTATAATCTCCATAATCCCCATGGGTCAAGGGTGGGACCAAGGGTGGAGGTAATTGCATCATGGGGGCAGTTTCTCCCACACTATTCCCGTAGGATAGTGAGTGAGCTCTCATGAGATCTGATGGATTTATAAGTGTCTGGCATTTATTTCCCCTGCTCGCACTTCCTCTTCCTATCACCCTGTGAAGAAGGTGCCTTTCTTCCCCTTCACCTTGTGTCATGATTGTAAGTTTCCTGAGGCCCTTCCAGTAATGTGGAACTGTGAGTCAATTAAAACTCTTTTCTTTATAAATTACCCACTTTTTGGTATTTCTTCATAGCAGTGTGAGAACAGACTAATACATCAATTTATTGAGTTTTTTTTTAAGTTGACAACAGGTATAAATCAAAGCACTGAGGAAATAGATATTTTATAGAGTAGAGAGGACAATTTCCATTTCTAGAAAAAACTGAAAGTGGTTAATGAAAAAATTCGTCAACATCTTTAGGGGTTTTAACGTAATCAGAAAACAATGAGAAGTCACTGACATATATTAAGGAATGAAAAAAATATGTGATTGCTTTTGCATTTAAGGAGGACTTAAACTACCCCCATTTAGTTAAATTAGGATTCGAAGACTGGCTGTGGGCAAACCTGATGAGCCATGACCAGCGGGCCAAGGGGTTTACTGCACATCCTTTATCCTGCTAACTGGCCCACTATATCCACTGGACATTTGCATTGATTTATATGAGTTTGATTTATCTTTATTTGGTTGATTGTTTTCCTGAAGGAAAAAAAAAGAATTCTGGTGAGAAATGAATGAGAGAAGAGATGGGAAAAGATAGGGAATGGACAGAAGTGAACAGAGTCTGTTTCTCTTGAGCCCGTTTCTAGGTATGGACATAGAAGTCACTTGACTTTATTGAGCTTTGGTCCAAATGAGGATAACATGAACATTCTATAATTACTTAAAAGGGAAAATTCTGGAAATGAGTCCAGAAATTAGAGTTTTCATATAGGTAAAATAAGCAGGTCAACAACAACCAAAAAAATTTAATCTATTTCTATCTTGTTGAGGTTTACTTCTATTTGTCAGAGATAAATATCTAAAGAGATGCAAAGAAGGTATTATTATCTGCTTTCATGGTAATCATTTTCTAATAGGCATCAAGGAAAGTAAATGCAAATGTCACCAAACCCCACAGGTCTAAACAGGAATATAGACTACTATGCACGTTTTATCATACATTAGTGTTTAATTTAAGGATAGACATTTTCTTAGAGGTGCCTTTCTTTCCTTCATTCTTCACGGAGATGCTGTGCACTGGATTCCTCATGCTTCACTGACTTAGAAATGCTTTGTACATTATTTTTTCCTGTGTCTTCAGGCCTTCTTCTCCTCTTTCATTTAAGTCTCCAACAGTTTCTATTAAAAAAAAAGACAACTTTACAAATCACAGTTTCTTGCCCCTCTCCCTCCCATCAAATGACTACTATTCAAAGTCATCCTTGATTGAAAAATTTGTGTATATTCTCTCATTTTCATTTCCCATCACCAAATGACATTTAGTATTCTATTAGGCTTATGCTACTACTGCTCTTTTGAAAATACTTTCCTGAAATACACATATCTCCAATCAGCAATAGCTTTTGGATCTTACCTGCCCTGACTTCTCTGTGCTCTTCACCACTTTGCAATACTTGGGATTCTCACTTTCTTTGACTTTCAGTCGTCATTTTCTCTTGCTTCTCTATTAATCTGGCTATCCTTTCCAAGTCTTCTTTGCTGGCTCCTTCTTTTCCATGGAGTGTTTAAATACAGATAATTTCTAGATTTTCATCTTATTGTGCATAATCTCCCTGCAGCATCTCATCCACTGGCGGATATCAAGTACCATCCACTTACTACAGATGCCATATGATGCTCTTATATTGACCTCTCTCCTGAATGTATTATCAGTATTAATACCAAGATAGGTGCATAACTTGCATTTGAAAGCAAAATTGGTATTATCTAACAAAATTAAATCTTCATATTGCATTCTCTGTCTCCAAGATAGAAACAGTGGAATCAACCTTGGCTAATGATTCTCCTTCACATCCTATATTTAATAATTGCCAAATTCTATTACTTCTATCACAGAAATGTTCACAATATCTGATTTTTCCTCTCATTTATTGTAGATGTCCTTAGCCTCATTCAAGCATTCCATGTAGAGATACTACTTGTCTGGGATGGAGGATCTTGCATTTGAATTAAGGAGACATAACTACTAATGAGTAACAATGTGTGTCAAGGTAAGCACAAGGAACTTTGGAAGGCTAGATGAGGACATTTATCCAATATGCCTTTCTTCCCTGATCTCAGCTATTGCAATAGCCTCCTCACTTCTCTCCTGGTCAGCAAAATTTCCTCCTCATCCATGCTCCAACCTTCTTTCATATTGCATCCAGAATATTCTTCCACAGAAACTGCATGATTCAGCTTCACTTATTAAAAATCTCTTTGGGGTTCCCATTGCCTAAGCAGGAATTTATAATCTGGGTTTTAGATTTCTATGAAATCCCGTAACAAATTGTGGATATACACATGTGTATTTTTGGGACAAGGTCAACACATGCTGAACCACCAAAATTTAAACACCATCAACCAACAATATAAAACACAAGCTCCTGTAGTCTATACATTCAATTGTACGTTTTACTCATATTTTACTTATCCAGCTCCTTTTCTTTCTTCTCTCCATTAAATCAATCCTATTCCCAGGTACATCAGACATTTCCCAGATACTCTTGATGTTTTAATGCTTTTCTGATTTTGTACATGCTGTTACATAACTTAGAAGGGAATTGTCTATCAATCACCATAACATGTTTCTATGGACTGAAGACTAATTAGAGCGTTATAATAAGAAGCCCCAGGAGTGTTTGCCACTAGAACATCTCTGTTTTACAATATTTTTGTCCAATTTTGATAAGCTGTAGTTACCAAATGATACAATTTAATCCACATATGATATAATTTAATCCTCTATGACTGTCAGATAGTTCTCATTGGTCCTGTTTTCTGATAAGGGACTAGCACATCTCAGTTGCTTAAAAAAATTTAGTGCTTAGTATATTGCCTGATGCATGAAAGTCGCTCAATACAAGTTAGTTGAATGAATTAATAAATGCAAAAGAAATGCAGAGGCTATGTATTGGGCAAGACCATGTTTCTGACATTAATTCTGGTGAGAGGAGGTAAAAAGTAAAGCATGGGCACTTTTAGCAATAAATGATGTATTTGAAATAAATAAATAAATTCTTAAGAGTATAAATATGAGGCCCAGCTTGATTCAAGCATGTATTAGGAACTTCTGAGAAAATAAATGTTAACCCTCAATAAAATGTTGGAGGGAGATAATTACTCACTGGTTGGATTCTGTGCCATTTATTTTTCTCATCTGCCAGTCCCTAATATATTTTAGTAAAGGTACTATACACTAAGTGCTAAAGAAAATAATTTTTTGAGACTTAATCCTAAATGTTTTGAAAGCCAATAAAGAAGATACTGTAACAGTACAGGAGTAAGTGTTATAGCTCAGAGTAAAGCCATGGAGATAATGAGAACAACACAGTGCCTAGACATTTACAGGGAAAACTCACTTAGATCCAGTGGTGGCTGAATGTGAAAACTGATCAAAAGACAAAGTAAAGATGATAACCAGATGGAAGTCAGCTGTGCTGCCTGTGGTATTCAGAATGATGAAGAAAGTGTGTTTGTGTGGTGGAGAAAGGTAAGGAGTAGCATAATGAAATCTTTACTGGACCCTATGAAGGGCTCAATTTAAAATACTATGTAAGCAAACAAGTTGATTTAGAGTAACTTTGTTTTAAAGTCAATATAAAATAAGCTATAAGATACAGGCACATCAATAAATGCAAGAATGATTAATTAAAAGGATAATGTGGTAGTCATTGTACATGTATCATTTACTGAGTCCTTATTTATGTGCTAGGCATGGTACTGAATGTCATCTCTTTTACTTTCCCAACAACCCTATGAGGAAGGTATTTTTATTATCTCAGTATTACAAGTAAGGAAACTGAGGCTTAGAGACATTAAGAAACTTGCCCAAAGTCACATAGCTGAAATGAAGCAGAGCAGGAGCATGGATATGGGAACTTTTATTCAGCCTTCCAGGTTTTCAATTAATACCATTATATTCTTCCTTCTTAGGCTATTTAATAAACAATTCTAGATTTACTTGTATGTGTTTTTAAGGTCTTAATAACATTTTAGTAATGGATTTAATGTTGAGAGTTTATTAAAGATTGTGTCCAATAGTTCTGACAGACAGTATGAAAAAGTATCTGCTCTCTTGCATTGCTGAGAGTTTGTTCTCCACTGCTATGTTTTCATTTGAATAGTTTTTCCTTATAAACACAGTTTAAGTACAGCATGCATAGTCTATCCTAATATTTGAACTGCTTTTTAAAGCTACTTTAATGGATATTCTCCATAATTATGTTTCTTTTTATCTCAATATTTATAATTCTATAAATCTAACCTTTTTACAATCGCATTTTGATTTGTGCAATCTATCTGCATATTTGAGTTCACTCTCATTCCAAAGTTTCTTTAGGACTAATTGTGGGGTGTGTGTGTGTGTGTGTGTGTGTGTGTGTGTGTGTGTGTGTGTATGTATGTTTGGAGTTAATAAGCTTAGATACTAGGGGGGAAAACACTGGAAAGATTATACCACAGATAATTAATAAAAATCAATTAGTTTGTTAATGAGTACTCTGTCAGTACCCAAGGTGCTGGAAACCAGCTGGGGGAAGGAAATCAGGATCCCTGAATAGGACATTTAGAATGCTTGAGTCCTGCTGAGAATTTGAGAGGAAATAACTATAAGAAGCACTACTTGGGTTAAAACTGGCTAAATTTCCTCTTGAGGTTACAATTCCTCCAGCCAATAAATCTAGTAAAAAAGTGATTCACCTTTAGTGTATGCCATAAAGCATTTTCTGAGGCCTTAAGTACATTGCTCACTGCCCTGTATTAAAAACAAACCCATAGTTGTAAATGTCAATGACTAAGAATATTATAGCCCTTGCATCTTTCTTATGTTAGTAGAAAAGCTGGAAGCACCCATTACCTCTTCTATGACTTTTTACACTGTATTTATGTAAATGGCAAAAGTCAAACATGAGCTGACAGGGAAATACAAAATCTGTCTTCCAGTGGTCTTTGGACGAAAAAGCAGAAAATTCCAGTGACAGCAACTGACTTTCGTCAAAAGTTTTTTTCAGAACAACTCATTCTTTCTATTGTTAATTATATCTGTGTTAAGATTATACTTTCTCTTCCTATGTAATTATGAATTATTTATGGGAGTAATGCAGAAGAGGGGATTTGCATATAAATAAATTAAATAAATTTAGCTTACCATAGGGTGACCACTTAAAACTATAATTTCTGTTTCATGTATCTTCTTCTAAGAATCGAGGAAGAAAAGCTAAATATATTCTAGTAGATTCATAGCTTTCATATAAATTTGTACATACAGTTTTATTGTAAATATCTTTCACAAGTATCCTATAATTGTCATAAATGTCAATATGACTGCTAAAAAGCCTCCCTTTTGGATAAAGAATAGAGGCTCAAAGATGTTTATAATTTTGGTTACCTTTTTATAACAGAAGTGTTCAATAGTCTATGAAGTGAATTAATAATATGGTATAAGATGTATGAATTTTCTATTGAAAAGTTGTACCTAATAACTCCCTCTCAGTATGAGGTCATAGGGGTAGAAGATCATTGATTTAACTTACTCAACTCTAACTTTCATGGATAACATATTCCTTTAATTACCTGCAAAATGTCTGGGTAGTGAAACAGAGCTCATACATTAGTAGGAGAGAAAATACACTGAATACAAATAAACGATTCTTTAAGCATGTCTATTTTTAGTCAACTAAATAAGTTAAGGCTTTTTTCCCCTCACATATATGTTACTACAGTTCCTTTTATAATATGCACAACTATGTACTAAAAACTGCATTAGTACAATCAGAAAAAGTGGTATCTATACCAGTTTAAGCAAATTAGATTATGGTTTCCTTTTTAGCACTCTCTTAATTTTGAGATATTTCCTCTAGTACATTTTTAATTACAAGGCAATAGTAGTAGTCTCAATTCCCTGACCTTACAATTCTTTTAAAGCATGAGATTTTTCAAATGTTCTGGCTTCCAGGTACATATAAAATGCAATTATGCTGTCTTTCAAAATATTTTGAAAAATGAAGAATGCATCTTATATTTATTTTAGAAATATAGCTATGTTCACACACACGAATGAGGAAGTCATCTGTGAATAGGTAAATTGTTGGAGCACATATATTGTTAGATTTATAATATCCCATTTAACTTTTGCAATATCCCATCAAGAAATTGAATATTACTTAATGAACACTGTAGTCCCACCTTATTTGCCAGGAATATGTTCCAAGGCCCCCAGTGGATGCCTGAAATTGTAGATAATATCAAGCCCTATATATGCTACATTTTTTCCATCTGATAAGTGACAAATGGATGGGTAGCATGAACAGTGTAGGTATGCTAGACAAAGAGATGAGTCACTTCCTGGATGGGATGAGCAGGAGGGCATCAGGTTTCATATGGCTACTTAGAATGGCACACAATTTAAAATTTATGAATTTTTATATCTGAAATATTTCATTTAATATTTTCAGATCGCAGTTGACTTCAGGTAACTGAAACCACAGAAAGTGAAACTGAAGATAAGGGAGGAGGACTACAGTAGCTGTGTGACTTTTTCACAAAATTAATCATTATAATCAAAGAACAAAATACTGCAGTAGTCAAGTATGTTTGAATCTTAGGGTTTCAGACCATTTTCCTTTCTCAGTTTTCTATCTCAGAGTGTAAGAGTACATATAGCCTGGAAACGACATAAATACAATAAAAAGAACAAGATATAAAAAGTCTTTACTAATTGATTAAAAAGAAAAGGTTAAGGACCACGTGGAAATCAAGTTATGTTTATGAGTTCTGAGAATGACAACATGTTCAGAAGGAAATAGTTTTAATTCTATGAAATTTAAGTTTCTATTTCTAGTTTTTGAATGTAACTCTTTGAATATTGTCCTTAGTTTTGTTTTCTTGTTCTTTTATTTTATTTTTAATTGACACATCAGAATTGTACATAGTCATGGGGTACACTATGATGCTTTGATATAGGTATACAAAGTAGATGAAGAAGACACAAGTAAATGGAAATATATTCCACATTCATGGATTGTTTTTCAAACGCTAATTGTATTTATTTTAGAAATGTAGAAATAGTCACAAATAGAAATTAGTATTTGATAAGTGCTGAGTCTCTGTACTAAATTAGCTCACCTGATTATGTGAATCATTTAATGTTTGATTTAGCTGATAAGACTGGTCAATATTAATATTATAAATACTATATACCATTCTCATATCATGCTAACATAAGAAACAATAAAATTTTAAAAGAAAAATATTGTTTGATAGATTGTAAAATGAGAAAGCCAACTGGCTATTTTGGATAAAAATGAGCAGGTCAACAAGGTCCTAATGGGTTTACTACAGTTTAGTCAGACTCTCAGTTTAACATTTACAGAAATCCAATTTGAAAATTTATTCAATTATTATTAACTTCTTAAGGTCTGACTTTAGTTTAACTGTGAGCACTTGAACTTAAAAGACACTGAATTGTAAACCATGATGTCCATTTATTTATTCACGAAATATGCGTCATTTACATAGGATGCTCCTTCCTTGTGCTCAAAACTACACAGGGAGAATACTGTGTGGTGAGCATCAAGTTAAAATAAGTAAAATGAGATTTTGAATTGTTATCAAACTAGCTGAACTGGACAAGATATCATTCTGTAGTCTAAAGATAATTTTACCTATACACCCAATATTGGCTGAATTTCTAGAGCCCATTTCAAATACAGTGGATCAGGATTACCAGGGATGGGACCAAAAATCTTTTAACAGTGTCTCTGATTATT
This sequence comes from Homo sapiens, assembly GCF_000001405.40. Taxonomy (NCBI): domain Eukaryota; kingdom Metazoa; phylum Chordata; class Mammalia; order Primates; family Hominidae; genus Homo; species Homo sapiens. Next base: position 92,021,035 of record NC_000005.10, read on the forward strand.
CTTTCCATGACATAAATAATAAGCTTTGAAAACACTGGCATGATGAATCAGCTCTTCTCCTTGATTCTTCTTTTCAAATATAGCTCACACAGATTCTGCCTTCTGTTACCAGGTTGCTAAGGTTAAAATTTTATTTTAATGATAGTTCATCACTGAGAATATTTTTAGTGCCTATGATTTGTCTGAGAAATCAGTATAGTTTTTGATTTATAGAAACTCAGGAAGTACCATAGTGTCCGTAGTACCACATCTATAAACCCTCTACTGAGAGGTTATTTTGCAGATGATTGGTCTTGTCTATTAATGCCAGCACTTTGAAAGGCTGAGGCGGGTGGATCACCTGAGGTCGGGAGTTTGAGACCAGCCTGACCAACATGGAGAAACCCCATTTGTACTAAAAATACAAAATTAGCCAGGCGTGGTGGCGCTTGCCTGTAATACCAGCTACTCAGGAGGCTGGGGCAGAAGAATCTCTTGAATCCAGGAGGTGGAGGTTGCGGTGAGCCGAGATCACCATTGCATTCCAGCCTGGGCAACAAGAGCAAAACTCCATTTCAAAAACAAAACAAAAACAAACAAACAAACAAACAAAAAACTACTCCAATTTCAATGGTAAATTTTGTCTGACCTATCCCTAAGTACAGGCTATATGTACACTATAGTCAACAATTAGTAAACTGTGTATCCACAGTACTATTCACTAGATAAATAATGACACTGAATGTTTTAAAATTCATAATGATTCAGATTTTAAAAAAGAAATAAGGGATATGCATAAAAATATTAAAATACTATAAGATATTTTATTTTTTATAAAAATTTTTAAAGTTCAGACCAAGTTTTTACCAAGTGTGTCTGTGTCAGACTTGGGATAGTGGAGAAGAATCTTGTGTTTATTCTATTTTTTTTCTTTCTTGAAATAACAGCTGAGAGATTGTAGACCTGTAATAGCAACAAAAGGGATATGAGAAATGAAAGGCATGCCTTTAAATCTTCAAAACTTTTTCATTTATTCATTCACCAAAAATGTATTGAGTCTTTATCTCCACTTTGGCAGGTACTGTGATTCTATATAGTCATATAGTCTTCTTTTTAATATTGACATAATCTGACTTATATTTGTGTTTTTAACTTACAGAGAGATCCCCTTAGTATTTGAAGAATACAGGTATATTTCACCTGGGATGTCTGGCTTGTGGTGAGTCTTCCCAAGTTTGATCAGGATTAATGAGCTGAGACTTTTCATAGAGACATTTACCTTGGGGTCAAAGAGACTGGGGAAGCTCAAGGGCTGTATCCCCTGTGCCAACAGCAAGAACAGCAGCAAGTTTTGCTGAAATTGATTATGAATGTCTCTAGCTACTGGCAAAGCTGAAGTACAGCCTGTCCATATCCATGTGAGGATAGAGTAGGAATTAAAATGAAAGCAAGACATGGCAAAGGTAAAGTGAAAGATTTTGCTATTAGGCTAGTGCTTTGATCATAAAGATTCAAACATATCTATCACGCTACATCTGTAAGAGTGTATTAAAAGGTTAATGAAGTTTTGTACCTTTTTGGACTTATAACTAAATTGTCAGGTCAGCAAATATGAAGAATTTTTGTACTGTAGACTATCCTAGGAAATTCTCTTGGGGGAAAATGAGATGCCTTTACAATTTATTTCAGAACATCAGTATCTTCAAACTGTTCTACACAATTTTGAGGCTGGTTCAAAGGAAGTATGTAGAGCTAATCCTGTTTAAAAAGAAATTGGGAAGGCTTAAGAAAATCCCTTATGTGAAAAATCAGGACAATATAGTAAAATATGATTTATATACAATTTATAGACCTTTGAATCAAACGTTCACCGTTTTAATAATTTCAGGGAGACAACTGCTTCACAGCAGACTGTAGCATAAGGCTCACATTATAAGACCATGCATATAATAGTGATACTGCCATGGGTTAAATGAGCAGAGCTTGAAGTATTATTTTTTTAAAAAATTGAAAGGTTGTGGCAGTAATAAAAAGGTTGAATGGTAATGCCTCTAATTGAACAGTAAGGCCTCTTTCCTATTAAGTCACTCTTTCATCTGTCTTTTTAATTATTTCATTATCATTTTGTACTGCAGTTCACAATGAAATGACCATTTGTGTTTAAGTGAAAGCTAATTATTAGGACTGAATTATTGTGCAGTTTATTGATCCCTATGGTGGATTAAGGGCTTTAAGTTCGTCTAGACAGAATAGTTAGCAAAATGACAAAAGGAAACATATAAGACCCTTGGGAAGAATCCCTATGCTCCATAAGCAATTAATGCCTGCCAGGTAATGGAATTTAAGTTTATACTAAATCCAGCAGAGCTTTGACATTTCAACTGCCTTATAAACACATTAGTCTAATGAATTAAGACTTATGAATTGTGTTTAGACACAAGTAGGAATAGGAAATCCACGATATTTTCAGCCATTCGTTGATTGAATGAAAAATAGATCATTTTCTCTCTGAATCTGATGAAAAATGAAATGTGTTCTTCTTTGTGTATATCTCTGCTCATTCTGTTTTCTGTTGATGGATGTGTATTAACAAATCCCATTTCCCAAAAAACACTAATCTCCCTTATGGATGTGAAAAGTATATAGTGATAAGCCAAGAAAGCGGAATGAATATATACATATATATATAGTACTGCTGAGTAAGAAGCCAAACAACCCATTAATCTCAATCAGGTGCTAGGCAAATTTAAAAGCAATTTGTCATTATGGCGATGAGCAAGCTGCAGTTTAAGCTAACCGTACAACCCATTGCTGTTATTTGTTAAGAGTATGTCTCTGAGTGGATTTTGAGGGGATCTGGCTCAATCCTTCAGTTACGCGACTTCTTCCCTAAAGTGCTCTGTCTTCAAAGATTTATTGACAACATGCCATGAGTAAGGATTTTTGGAAAAGTTGTTAAAGCTCTTTTTTGTATCAACAAAGATTTCGGCAACAATTCTAAGGAACAATGACAAGTTAATTAGGTACAAAGTGGTGTCATTTGGTGCCAAGTTTTAAGTATTATTCTTTCTCATCTTCATTTTCAGGCTTCCAATAAAAATCTCTTGTACTGTACCAACCATGGTTATTTATGGGTCAGATAAAAGACAGATATTTCAGTTACATGCAGAAGAAATCTGGTACATTTTACCTGTATATACTTCTTTGAATTTGAAGTCTTCACCACAAAAATCTTAGAGAACATTTCAAGAACAGCCTTCCTTTTGTCTTAGAACAATAGTGTCAAGGACCATTCAATGAAGAGGCATCCATACCAGATACCCAGAGGCACAGTTTAAATATTAAAGTATATTTATACAAAATATATTTTAGATGTTTCATTGCATGAGTTTGAATTAAATTGTAGGCATTGAGATGCACAGAATAGAATCTAGCAAATTGCAAAAATGTTTGCTTCCATTATATTTATGCACAATTTTATTGCTTGCATTTGACAGTGGCAAAGTAGCTAGTTTAATAAGCAAGCGTAAGTTTTTTATAGCAATGGTTATGGACTTTTATGGTATTTAAACTAGATTAATCAGTGAAGTATGATAAAGTTGAAGGATTAAACAGACTGCACACTTAAATATAAAACACTAATGGGGAATCTTGCACGAGGCAATATTTGTTATTATGAAAATATAATAAAAGGATAATTGGTGGGGTTCTCTTTCTAGGAAAAAAAGATGGTTTACTCAGCTTAAGAAGTCAAATTAATGCCTAGGGAAATAGGGCACCCTTATTATATGTAGACATGGTGCCACCTACGTGATAGTCATTTGATTTTTAAAACCAAAAATAAAACTCATGCTTTACATAATGTAATTATATGACTAAATTCAAAGTATGATCCTAGAGAAAAGCATTCCAAGAATTTTCCTTAATTTTTTCTTTGTAAGTCTGCAAATATGCCCCTAGGTATACTTATTCAAATATTGATTTATAATGCATTTGCATGATTGGAGGACTTTGTTTTCCATTTTGAAGAAAAGATTTACTCTTATCTAATGAACAAAGTTTTAAACTATTTTTCAGAATGCTTAAAGTTAGTTTGAATGCCTCAAACATTTTGGTAAGGGTTAGAAGTAAAAGTTTAAGAGAATATTATTAATTCAATTAACAAAAAATAATTTTTGAGAATCTTATCCATTATATGTGTGTATGATTCAAAGTCAAATAAGTCTTTTTTTTTAAATTTATACTTGTACTAGTTATCTATTGCTGCATTAAAAATTGGACCAGAACTTAGCAAGTTAAAATAGCAAAGATGTATTATCTCAAAATGCATTTGGGTCAGGAATCTGGGCACAGATCAGTTGGGTTTTCTCTGGCTTAAATAATCTCTTGAAGTTTTAGTCAAGCTGTCAGCAAAGGTTAGCGTTTTCATTCAAAGCGTTGGATGGGTGAGTGTCCTTTTCTAACTCATTCATGTGGTTGCATTCATGTGGCTGTTACCAGGGTCTCGTTTTTCTTGGCTGTTGATCACAGGACTCCCTTAGTTTCTTGCCACATGAACCTTTCCAAAAGGTAGCTCACAAAGTGGCATCTGGCTTCCCTCAAATCAAGAAAGCAAGGGAAGACCCAATATGGAAGTCTTTTTATAACCTATTATCAGAAATGACATCCCATTACTTTACTGTATTCTTTTGTTAGGAGTAAGACAGTATGTTCAGACACACCCAGGTGAGAAGATTCAGTGTTATGCACAGCTGGAGGCAGAGATTGTTGTGGGCCATTTTAGAGGCTGCCTATCACCAAGGTTATGGCCCACCAAAGAGACAAATGACCAACTATTATAACAGATGACAGATGTCATGTCATACTCACAATTAATATGCACAAATGAGGGTGAGAGATATCAATACAGTGTTTTACGTAGGCTTTCCAGTAGAAAGGATGATCCAAAAAAGTTTAGTGGCAGTCAGCAGCATATGTAGGAGTAACAGACAAAAGCATTTCTATTAGAGTGGGTATGTGAACAGCTTTGGAGGGCTTGGAAGTAAACTATAAGTTGATATAGCTAGAAGAGAGTCTATAATCTGAGGAAGGGTGGGAATTGATGTTTATATAGGTAGTAGCCAATAGCAGGAATTGATGCTTATATAGGTAGTAATAATCTTACAAGTAAAACTTGTAAGTTTTACTTGTAAGTTTTACTGGTAAGCCAATAATCTTACAAGTAAAACTTGGAGTTTGAGCTTTATCCTAAAATTTGGGAACGCATTGATAATTATAAGCCTGATCAACCTTGTTTAGAAAGATGTCTTTGGCAACAATGTAGAACATAAATTGGAGATATAGGGACTGGTTAGAAGACTATCATAGAGGAGAGAAGTGATGAAAACAAACTAAGGCTATAGTAGTAGTAATAAAGAGGAGGACATGAAATGCAGCAAGTAGGAAGGTAAACAGAAGCAACACTACTGATTGCATAGGAAGCAGGAAGGAGAGATCAACGGAACATATCTGTAATAAGACATAGTAACATGGTATGTTCAGGGAAAGGATTTGAGCATTAGAAAAAGAAAGCAAAATTATGATTATTTGATACAGTGGTTAATTAATAGAGTTATCATGGCTTAGGGCTTGGATGTTCACAAAAAAAGAATGCTAAATATTGCAAAAGGTCATGAAAGGACACATGTATAGTAAAACATTTTCTACTATAAAGATAAGCCTCTATTAATACTAAGGTATCAGAGGCTGGATAATCAGTACAATGCACACTCATAATCTAAAAAATGTTAAACAGTGGGTACATTTTGTATTCTTTGCCCACCTTTATACACCTTTGATCTATAGAAAATATAGCAACTTTAGCCAAATTCATAATATGAAAATATAAATGTGAAAGGATCAGGCAGGATTCCAAAGACTTTAACCTTGGGTGAACATCCAGGTCTCAAATGTTGGTAACTCTGATTAAAAGATTCAAGCATATATAAAGAATCTTGGATCTAGAGAAACTAAAACACACCCAACTAGGTTGTGCTAACCTAGGTTATCCAAATCTAGAAATAACACATATAATAGAAATATCCAGACCATTACTAAATTCATTGTTAAATTGTGCTTTTAGTCAGTATATCTTGACCTTAAATAGTGCCTGTAAAAGAGTCACAGCAAAGTGAGGCTATATTGTCCAGTAAGGCTAATAACAAAATTGATCTCCAACCTTTGCTCCTTGATAAGAACACATATCCATTGTTTTGTATATTTTGCAGAATATTTTGGCACTTTACTAACATTCTCTGTCATTAGATATTGGGGAATGTAAACCTCAAAGGAGGATGTACTATCTTCCTACAAAAAATATTTTAAACGATAACCCTATATCAACCCAGAACTGTTAAATCTTTGGTTTTGAAGTATATTACTAAAGCAGCTTTTTAACATGCATATAGAAAATGATATGCAGGCTAATAGGATCAGCTTAACAATTAATCTAGCAATTATCTGGATACTTATATTGAACTCACAAAAAGTCTTCAATCACACCATGGATTAAGAAAATTTTAAAAATCAGAAATATACTAGTTGTTAAACATTGAGACATTTCCTTCTTTATATTCTTCAGGAGAAACTGTGAAAATTTCTACATATTTAATCAATCAAATGTCAGGCATATGTGGTTACATGTTTTATAGTTTTGCATGGAAAAATAAAAAGATTTATATTATAGTGCCTAATCTAGGACTAGAGTTAGACTTCATGGGTTGAATTCTGTTGTTATTGCTTAGGGATTTTTTGTAGCTACGGAATGTTTTTTAGAAAGTGACAACTTCTCTAAGACTCTGTAGTCATTGGTGAAATAGGAATGATAACAATATCTATTATACAAGGAGTAATAGATTAGAAGTAATTTTTGTGCGGATAAAATGAGCAACCTATGAAAAAGAGTCAACACAATGCCTAGATTATTAAAGTCACTTAATAAATTATAGTTATTCTTGCATAACCAAATTTCCTTTAAAATAATATATTCTAAACTTGGATTTCATTTTCTGTATTTCTTTTAGTGTTTTATCTTTATTAAGTAATTAACAAAAAATTAGGACAATATTTAAAGAACATATACATGAAAAACTATATGTATCTTAAATAAAATTAAAAATGTTTTGATAATGAGAGCATGCTATAGCTACTCATTATTCATGTCTTGATTTATTCATTTATTAAATAACTATTTACTGATTTCCTGCCATCTGCTAAATAACTAGGTAAGGCACAAGGGCTGCAATGCTAAACAAAAGCAGACATAGTCTCTGCAATCCTCATGGAGTTTATGGTCTAGCAGGAAATATAGATGCTAATCAAATCATAACAAAATCAAATATAAAACCGAAACCATGATGTACCAGTTGTAGAGTTTTCCTACACTCAGATTAAGGATACGTTATTATATGCCAGGAGTATTAAGTGTTAATATGCCTACAGTTTTGCCAATAATATTAGGAAGTTTTATAAATTGTGTCTTTACTAAACATGTGACTAAGTAAGATAATGCATAAAACATTTAGCATAGTGATTGTTAAATAATCAGAACTTATCCAATCTCGGTCTATCTCTATCCTATCCATTCCAATCATCTACATATCTGTAATTATATGCATATTTATATGCATTACTTTAAAAGGGATCATCATTTGTACCATGTTCAGTGTTAATGCCAATATGCAACCAAATACACTTCGATGTGAGTTTTTGCTACCATTATCATGATTAGAAATATATTCTAAATAGTAATTATATTCAATAAGACGTTATTCAAAAATGAAGTAGGAATTATTTTCAATTTTGACAAATTTGTTGTACATCAATTAATATAAAACTTAAAATGTCTAAGTGATTTTGAAAATAAAAATTATATACCCTTAAAATTCACTTAATGTAAGTTTTCAAGCAATTTCCAAATTCTATTTTACATCTAGTATTTTGAAACTGTACTTTGAAACTCTTATAACATGTAATTATATTATCATTAATATTTTTAAATTCAATTGACTCAACTTTTTAATGAACACTGGTTCTGTTCATAAAATGGTTTGAAAATTTTCAAACTTCATGTTATACTGTAAAAAATCTGGTTAATTTAACATAAGACCTAAAACCATAAAAACCCTAGAAGAAAACCTAGGCAATACCATTCAGGACATATGCATGGACAAAGACTTAATGACTAAAACACCAAAAGCAATTGCAAGAAAAGCCAAATTGACAAATGGGATCTAGTTAAACTAAAGAGGTTCTGCAAAGTAAAAGAAACTATCATCAGGGTGAACAGGCAACCTACAGAATGGGAGAAAATTTTTGCAATCTATCCATCTGACAAAGGGCTAATATCCAGAATCTACAAGGAACTTAAACAAATTTACAAGAAAAAAAAAACAAAGAGCCCCAACAAAAAATGGGCAAAGGATATTAACAGACACTTTTCAAAAGAAGACATTTATGTGGCCAACAGCGACATGAATAAAAGCTCATCACCACTGGTCACTAGGGAAATGCAAATCAAAACCACAAAGAGAAACCATCTCATGCCAGTTAAAATGGCAATCATTAAAAAGTCAGGAAACAACAGATGCTGGAGAGGATGTGGAGAAATAGGAATGCTTTTACACTGTTGGTGAGAGTGTAAATTAGTTCAACCATTGTGAAAGACAGTGTGGCAATTCCTCAAGGATCTAGAACTAGAAATACCATTTTACCCAGCCATCCCATTACCGGGTATATACCCAAAGGATTATAAATCATTCTACTATTAAGACACATGCACACGTATGTTTATTGCAGCACTATTCACAATAGCAAAGACTTGGAACCAACCCAAATGTCTATCAATGATTGACTGGATAAAGAAAATGTGGCACATATACACCATGGAATACTATGCAGCCATAAAAAAGGATGAATGCATGTCCTTTGCAGGGACATGGATGAAACTGGAAAACATCATTCTCAGCAAACTAACACAGAAACAGAAAACCAAACACCGCATGTTCTCACTCATAAGTGGGAGTTAAACAATGAGAACATATTGGCACAGGAGGGAAACATCACACACCAGGGCCTGTCAGAGGGTAGGGGGCAAGGGGAGGGATAGCATTAGCAGAAATACCTAATGTAGATGATAGGCTGATGGGTGCAGCAAACCACCACGGCACATGTATACCTATGTAACAAACCTGCACTTTCAGCACATGTATTCCAGATCTTAAAGTATAATAAATAAATAAATAAATAAATAAAAGAAAAATCTGCTTAATTTAAAGGAACACCATAGCCTAGGAACATATATAACATGCAAGTATAGAAACATCTGGACAAATAAATCATTAGTTACTAATATTTATGGAGTCAATTTTAAAAATTGCTACTTCAATTCACTAATATCTTATGTTGAATCTAAACATATGCACATTTGTTAATGAAAAATCAATTAATAAGTCTGGGCACGGTGTCTCAAGCCTGTAATCTCAGCATTTTTGGAGGCCGAGGCAGGTGGATTACAAGGTCAAGAGATCGAGACCATCCTGGCTAACACGGTGAAACCACGTCTCTACTAAAAAATACAAAAAATTAGCCGGGCGTGGTGGCAGGTGCCTGTAGTCCCAGCTACTCGGGAGGCTGAGGCAGGAGAATGGCGTGAACCCGGGAGGTGGAGCTTGCAGTGAGCTGAGATCATGCCACTGCACTCCAGCATGGGTGACAGAGCAAGACTCCATCTCAAAAAAAAAAAAAATTAATAAATTAATCATTACTCTTATCTATATTTGCTAATTATTTACTAGCTTTATAAATATTACATTTTTTCTTATAATAGTAGAGAACATTTTAAATAGACTAAGTAAATTAGTGATGAGGTATTGATCATTTAACTTTTTGTTAAGTATAACCTTGAGTAAATGAATAGTTAATAAAATCTAAAATAAATTTATACTATGAAATTTAAAAAAGCTAAATCTTCTATAATATGTTTATATTTTGAAAAAGTATGGTTTGATAATCATTTGGGTTGTAGAAACCACAAAATAATGCTATTAGAAGACAAATAGATGATTCAACTAATGTATTTTTGTCGTGAGAGACTTGAAAACTCAGAATCCTAACTAGAAAGCAAGTAGAGGGAAACAAAAAACAAAAAAATGTAGAGCTAGGCCATGTCAGACTAATATTAGATATAGACATTCTATGATGCTGCTTATTTAACATGAGTTAAGGGTCTCCAATAGTCTCTTCTTCATTAAAATGAACAAGTAAACCCTTCCACAATTTGCTTTGCATTGATCCTTTTCATTACTGAATTTCCTAAGAGAAGCATCACTCCTGGTATCCCTTGTTGCTTGGTTGAGGCATTAATCCTTGTAAATGTCTTACTTGAATAATTTGTTACCCCTTCCTGGATGGACCAATTTTTACCCATAGAATGATAAACAAATTTCTTACCTATAGAATGATGAATAAATTTGTTAACACATTTTGAGATCTTCCTTTATGTAATTACAACTGAATTAAATTTATTTAAAATGTCTACCTCAGACTAAAATAATTTGAAGATAGATGCAGACTATAACATGTTTTAAAATCACAATTTAGAGCTGAAAGAAAGCAGTGAAGGCAGAGGCTTTGAAGCAAAATCAGGTTGTACCAGGCTTTGGCAGTTTACCTGATTAATCATTGGCAGCTGGGCTGCATTTTTCAAAGGCTCCAATTAGCTGAGATCCAAAGAAAATGATGTAGAGTGAGATTTTGGCAACTGGGTAAGTGGGCAACAAAAATATAAAGGCCCAAGAGAAAGAGGGCATGGACATAAAAAGACTCAGAAGAATTGGTGAAGCAATGATGAAGAAACAGCAAAATTCACATGACAAATTTGCACGTGACAAGTTCTGTGCATAGAGCCTAAATATCACTGCCAATGGAACAATATGTTCTACAAGAGGGAAAAATATAAATTGTTCAATATTGAACTTTGAGGACAAATTTAGTAAGTGCTTTCTGACAGAATATTTATTTGTAAAGCATGCACATCCAGAAAGATAACTACTATCTGATGATTTAATAACACACTGATCTTAAACTAATTTGAACGTTAATCCTATTGGATGTGTGTCTTTTATTCATTGGACTGGAAATACAGTAGACTATCACTGATCAGCTCAAAGGTAATTGGCACCAGTTCTGCTACTTCTGTTACCAGAAAAATCACTTTCTAATATGAGAATTATATATATAAAAAGTAAAACACACGCTTGAGGCAAATATGTCTTAACTCATTTGACTTGAAATGACAACTTCATTTTGGGTACCCTGAATCCAAAAGAAAGCTCCAGGATCCCGCTAAGAACTTTTAGAACAGAATAGTTCAAACTGTTGAGAGACTGTATGGTAGTAAAACAGGTTATAGGAATGTTACAAGGCTGCATCATATTTCTAAGAAGAAATATCTATGTATGGCAAGTTCAAAAACAATTTACTTGAAAGTGTAATGTAAAGTGTGGATTTTGTCTCTTAACAATTAATCGCCAAGGCAAAGCACTCCGTGTTACAAATTTCATCATTGGGTGGTATTGGTTTTTCCTCACATGAGTAGCAATGCAGAAGAACCAGAATGTTACTCTACCAATTTACTCTAAAATCAGCCATTTATTTCCATCTCAATAAAATGTTTTTAGCTATTACTGCCTTAGGTCTTTATTTCTTCATCATGTTTTGGTTTCATTACAAATTTAGGCATACATCTTTTTAAAAGTAGAAATGAGGAGTAAACAAGAAGAAGAAAATAAGAGTGATCCATAATCCAGAGATAACCATTGCTAACACTTTGGAGCATGGCCACTTTGGCATGCAGTTTTTCATATTTTTTAAATAAAAATTAATTTCCCCATATATTCACAGAGACATCCAAGTGTTATTATACAGTTCTGTGTAACATATTTTTATGACTACATAGTTTACCAACAAATATTGTACCATAACTTATTTCAGTTATCCCCTCTTATTATTTTCCTTCTTTTCCATTTTTTGCTGTTTTGAAAATCTTGACTTAGAGCTTTACCATAGATCATAGATGAATTGTTCGTATCAATAACTGTCTTCTTGAGATAAATTTGTAAATGCTAATTTTCAAGTCACAGCATAGGTATATGTTTAAATATTTAAATACTGCCATTTCTTGTCAAGATTGCTCATATAAATGTATACCTCCACCAGCAGTTTAATGAGATTCTCGTTTTTTAGTCAACAATGAGCAATTTCCTATGTTATAATCATTGCTAGTTTATTAGGCAAAAAGTATGCTTTATTGTGACTTAAATTGGCACCTCTTTTACTAAGAAGTAAGGCTAAAAAATTTAAGTATGCATTTATTAAACATGCATATACTTCATTTGTGAATTGCTATTATAAAATTAAATAAGCAGGAAGCCACTGGACTGAGGCAGCCTTCACACTTTGAGTTCCTGCATAACAAACTGCAGCCTACCTTAGTATATAAACTAACTGAAAACCTAATTTAGTGATATAAGAAATAGCCAAGTCTGAGCCAATCACAGGCTGCCAATGGATCAGATTATGTCTAATAAATCTAACTGTAAGCTGTACCAATTAAACTGTACTTCACTTTCATTTTCTGTCTATAAATACTCCCTACCCATTACTGGATACTGGAGTTCTCTGAACCTCCCCTGGTTCTACGGGCTCTGATTCGTGAATTGTACTTTGCTCAATTAAATTCTGCTAAATTTCATTTGTTGAAAGTTGTCCTTTTAAAACTACTTTACTTTAAATTTTTAAGCAAATAAATGGACTTGTAAGAGAGCTTTATATTTAGTAACATAACATATAAAGGAAATATTTTTTTCTTGCTTCTCACTTGTCTTTTCATATATAGAAAATTTCCAATGGCTTGTGATAATTTGTTCAAAGTGAAAAGCCTCTCTTCAACTCCAATTTTTACATATATTTACAAATATTTTTCTCTTAGTATTTTATGGTTCGATTTTTTAAAAAAACTTTCACATTTTTAATCCTTCTGGGATTTAATTTCAAGTATTGTGTAGGTAGGAAACATTTCACTAGGTTGTAAAAATTTCATACTCTATAAACACGTATAAAATAGCACAGTACAGTTTAGTGTAATGCCCTTTCTCCTTTCCCATTTGTTTTACATGCTACATTTAGCATGTTCTCAATTAATAGGTATACATATGTTAGTGGATGTTCTGTTTTATGTATGTATTACTAATATCATTACTGGATTTTTTTCATATATCTATCTAATTTTCTATCATCATCTATTTATCTGTCTGACATCTGGACTTGAAGTCATTTGTACTACTTTCATATTGCTCCTGTAACAAGTTATCATAGACAGTGGTTGGAAACAACACGAATGTATTATCTTGTCATTTGTGCTAGTTTCATATTGCTGCTGTAACAAATTATTATAATCTTAGTGGTTGCTAAAAACATGCATGTATTATCTTGTTCTCCCAGAGGTTAGAAGTCTGAAATAGGTCTCACTAGGCTAAAATCAAGATATTGGCAGTGCTTCATTCCATCTGAAGTCTCTAAGGGAGAATCCCTTTTCTTGATTTTTCCAGTTTATAGAGACTGCCCATATTCTTTAGCTTGTGACAATCCCTTTTCTTGTTCCAAGCAAGGAACACATCAGACCTCTGCTTCCATCATTGACACATCTCCTTTTCTGATTTTTGATGCTCCTGCCTTCCTTTGTCACTTATAAGGATCTTTATATTACAGGAGGTCCAGAGAGTAATATAACATTATCTCAAGTCAGCGATTAGCAACCTTACTTCCATCTGTAACCTAAATTTCACCTTGTTATGTAGCATGACATGTTCATAGGCTCTGAGGATTCCAAAGTGGACATCTTTAGTAGGGCATAATACTGCCTAATGTACCCTTTTAGATAGACTTTGTTAACTTTCAAAGATTTTTCATGATTAATCATATCTTTAAATCTAATAAAGATTTAAACATTAAAGATGAAAATTGAACAACAAGGTTCAATGATGATAATTTATATTTTTCCATTCTTTTGAAAGGGCCAAGTTTATTAGAAAAGACTTATAGCTAACATATTCTTATAACATTATAAATCTACTCAACATGCGGTTATTTTTCCTTTCAAGTTCCTTTTTAGATTGTTTTCCATCTTTTATTCTTGAGTTAATTTGCTCCTGAAAAAGTTACTTGCATGGGTTCATATTTTATTTTGTTTCATCTACAAATAAAAGATTTAGTGATAAAAAGTACTGTTGTGTAATATGGTTTTTCTCTGTTTCCCCACCCAACTCTCACCTTGAATTGTAATAATCCCCAGGTGTCAAGGGTGAGGCCAGGTGGAGATAATTGAATCACAGGGGCGGTTTCTCCCATACTGTTCTCGTAATAGTGAGTAAGTCTCATGAGATCTGACGGTTTTATAAATGAGAGTTCCCCTGCACAAGCTCTTTTGCCTGCTGGATGTAAGAAGTGACTTTGCTTCTCTTTTGTGATTGTGAGGCACCTGTGGAACTGTGAGTCCATTAAACCTCTTTTTCTTTATAAATTACCCAGTCTTGAGTACGTCTTTATTAGTAGCATGAGAACAGACTAATACATTGTGCTTACTATATATTTTTTTAATTTTTTAAAGCTTTCCGTATTCTTTCTCAGTACCTCCTACCTCTTTCCTAATTTCTAGTGTATAGTTACATGTTTTTTTATTTTGACTTTCACATTTACTCATAAATGTTATGAATTTGTCCCATACTTCAGGTTTGGCTAAACAATTCCCAATGTTTACTATATTGAGAAAACAAATTTTCATGATTTAACTGTGGATTTAAGGATGATTAGGAGAATATTTTTATAAAAATTAAATTTTATAAAAATTAAAAGTAGTTCAGATGTTTTGGCTTATTTGAAATTCCATTATTAAAATTTAAGGCGTTATATGAAAAAAAAAACTTGTAAAGTTTTGGTTTGGAGAATTTCTTAAAGCTTTTCTTTTACATCTTATAATATGCCCCACTTTTTACACAAGTACACATTGTAAAACAGTATTATTTTTAAATGAAGAGTTTTGTCATTTTGCCATTTGTTAATTTTAGTCTCAATCCCTCTATTTCCATATTCATATCTATCTAGTCTACTAAAGAACAAGAAGACTGTTAATCTCATTTATATTAGTGGGGTTTCTTGTGATTATCTTCTTATAGGCTTAAACATTTTTTAGATTAATTAACAAATTTATAGGTAATCTCTATTACACTTTCTTTGTCTATTACATTATTTGGATATGATGTAAACAGCATGTAATTACATAATACTTTTTAATTCAGTCTGACTCATGTATTACTCATTTTCATTTATTACAACTGATTAATTTGTGTATCTGTTATTCCCTTCTCTACATGTATTATTATATTTTGCTAGAAATAACAATAAATACTATGTGCCAAACACTATTACACTTGACATTTGCCAAGATAGAATTCAGAAAAAATATAAACGACTTTGACTAACACAAAGAAAGATTTATAATGCTAAATGTCACAATTTAAAATGAAGATAAAATAATTATAAACATCTATGCATCCAGAAACAGTAATCTTCATGAAGCAGAAACTTCAGAAGATACAAAAGAAATAAACACACACCAAAAATTGAACTGTGACACAGCTTTCATGGAAAAATCAAGCAACTAAAATGTAAGTAAAAATATTGAAAATCTAAGACATTTAATGAGTAAAAAACTTAAAATAGATATTGATCTTGCACCAATAAGAGTACACACAAATTCTTTAATGAGTGAATATTAGCTCACAAAGGAAAATCTCAGTAGGTTCAATAAGATAAAATTATTAAAAATGATATCTATTCGCTATAAAATACTAAAGTTAAAAATACGTAATACAAATTTTAGAACACAGAGTTAAATAGCTTTTGAATAGAATATTGCAGTATTTCTTAAAAAAAGATAAGAAAAGCACTACATATTAGCCCCTGTGCAATACAATTAAAATACTAACAGGAATATTATTTATAAGTAAATGCTAAATTAATATAAGTAAGACTGCAATAAGGCCATTTTTTTTTCTTTTTTTCTTTTTCTTTTTTTTTTTTTTTTTTTGAGACGGAGTCTCGCTGTGTCGCCCAGGCTGGAGTGCAGTGACGCGATCTCCGCTCACTGCAAGCTCCGCCTCCATGTTCACACCATTCTGCCTCAGCCTCCTGGTAGCTGGGACTACAGGCCCGTGCCACCATGCCCGGCTAATTTTTTTGTACTTTTTTTAGTAGATATGGGGTTTCACCATGTTAGCCAGGATGGTCTTGATCTCCTGACCTCATGGTCTGCCCACCTCGGCCTCCCAAAGTGCTGGGATTACAGGCGTGAGCCACCGTGCCCAGCCGGCCATCAAATTTTTGATAATAAAATATTGTGGAAAGAAAGAATACAATAAAGGTTAAAACAAAAAAAAAAAGAAAACAGAAAAATAACAAATAAATGAATCAAATATGGATTATTTATAAAGAATAGACAAAACAGAACAACTATTAGCTAATTTAATCAATAAAATTAAAAGGATAAAAGTAAAAATACACAAAATGAGATATTACAAGAAAAACATAAACATTTAAATTCAGAAAATTAAAAAAATCAGGCTATTTTGCACATATTTTTATAAATACCTTTAAATAATAAAAGAATTACATGATATCCTAGCAAGAATATAATAATCCAAATCAACTCAAGCAGACAAAGAAAACTAAATTGACAAACTTCCATTGAATCAACAGATAAATTTATCTAAAATGTAAGACATGTTATTCCAGCCCCACATCCCACAAAAAAAAAAGCAATGTAGTAAAATATCATCAAGGAAAATTCTATGCATTTAGCCCAAAACAGATAATTCCAATTCTACTTTTCTAGTACATGAAAAAAAAGCCACCTCCAAATATATTTTGAATAAAGGAAACATTGATAGCTATGTACAATGTTTATATTGCACAAAAAGTAAAAATTAGAGAAAAATCCTAAATAAAATGTTAGCTAACATAATTTTAGCATATTAAATAATAAACCATGACCTAATTTATTATAGTAATATGAGGATAATTCAATATTAATATACTTCACATATTAATTCATAATAGCAATGTTCTGATTACCTCTACTAATGTTGAAAAGGCATTCAACAAAATTCAATACCAACTGCTAATTTAATATAAACAGACCAAAACAGTTAATGGAAGAAAAATCAATGGATATTTTATTAATATGGTAAAATAGATATACCTTATTTCAAAAGTCAGCATTTAAAAAAATGTGTAAACAGTGGACACTTTACCACCAAGGTCAAAAAGTTTGAAGATTTGAATACTATTACCAATATGATTTTTTGGAGGTTTATTTTAAGTGCTGGTAAATGCTCTTAGGTAAGAGATGTTGAGACATATAAGCACTGGAAAAGAATAGATAAGATTATGTCTATTGCCATAGGATAGGATAATGTACCTAAGAAAATCAATAAAATAAGTAAGTGTAAGAGTATTCATTGGGGTAGCAGAATAATAATTAATATACAAAAATAAATAAATTTCATTTAACAAATGATAACTCATTAGAAGACATAATGGAGGAGAAGATTTAGGCAGGAAAAAAAGATAAAATGCCCAGAAACACAAAGAAGAAAAGTACAAAATTTAGAAAGAATTAGACTAAACCTGAATATCACAATGAGAGGTTTGAATACATGGAAAGACATTTTTGTTTTTAGGTAGCATAATTCAACATCATAAATATGCCAATTCATCCCAAGTTAATATATAAATTAAATGCAATCTTAATAATATTTTTTGTGTGAAAAACAAGTAATGCAGAACAGGCAGGTAAAAACCTCCTAAAAGTAGAAAAAACAGGCAAAGGGTAAATATAAAATAAAATGTGGTATATGGTAAAACTGACTTCTAAAATATGTGGGGGAAAATAAAGACTTTAAAACATTTGTTGAGATAACTGGGTAACCATTTAGAAAAACATAAATGGGTCTCAGAAACCTATGTGTAAGATAAATGAAACCATAGATTCACTGGAGTAAAATATGCATTAATTCCTTTATAATCTGGGAACATGAAAGACCTTGCTGATAATTGTTGACTCAAAACTCAGAAGCAGTAAGAGGCCTGATAAATTCAAATACCTGAAGAATAAAAAGCCTGTGTGTGGCGGGGGATGCTTAGGTTGGGGTTGGAGGAGAAGTTCCATAAACAAAATTAATATGATGAACTAGGAGAAAATATTTCCAACTTCTTTCATAAACAAAGGAATATTCCCCAAGTAAAGAGTTCATAAAAATTAAATAAAATGATAATAAATATGAGAATAATTCAAAGAAAAGACAAATGACTCTAAAAAACATGAACACATGCTCAATGTCACTTACACAAAGAGCAGTGTAAATCAAAATTACACTGAAATACCACTTCTTACTAGCAGGTTGGCAAAAATTCAAAAGTTTGTTCACACACTCAGTTGGCAAAGGTTTGGAGAATACTTATTATGTATTGCTGATAAGCATGAAAAATTGTGCAGATCCACTGGAGAATTACTTGGCACTATCAAGAAAAATTACCTATACATTCTACCTCTAACCCAGGAATTTCACTTCATGAAATCCACCTTTAAAATAGACCTCCACAAACATAAAACAATGTATGCACAAGGTTTTTTATGTAGCTTATTTATAAGAGCAAAACACCAGCTAAATGCCCATCAATAGGAGCAAGTAAGGTACAAAATGAAGTATTACGTTTCATTTTGTATTACGTAGTTGGGAAGGTCCTCTGTAGTACTACCAATTGGCCATCAAATACTTTTTCTTTTCAAAAGATAGTAGAATTTTACTTTTTGGGTAAAAAATATGGAGGAGGCAAATTTTATACACATACACACACACACACACACACACACAGTTGTGTGTTGCTTAATGATGTGGATATGTTCTGAGAAATGCATCATTAGGCAATATCATTATACGACCATCATAGGGTATACTTACACAAACCTAGATGCTATAGCCTACTACACACCTGGGCTATATGGTATAGCCTATTGCTCCTAGGCTATAAACCTGTACAGCATGTTACTGTACTGAACACTGTAGACAATTGTAACAAAATGATATTTGCATATCTAAACATAGAAGAGGTGCAGTGAAGATGCGTTTTTATAATCTTATGAGACCACTGTTGTACATGCATTCCAGTCTTGACTGAAACATATGACACATAATTGTGAATGTGTGGTGTGTGCGTATATGTGTCTCTGAAAAATTGAAACAAATTTAAGGTAAAGCAAATATGAGAAAATGTTATCAATCAATCTAGGTGGTATAAATGTAGATATACATTGTATTTGTCTTCTGCTGTTTCTATATTTGAAAATTTTCATAAATTAAAAAGGAAAAAAGCAAATAAATGTGGTAAGGATGACATTTGGTTTTTCCACATTCAAGATAAAAAAATTAGCATATATTTATAATCTGCCTTTGTTTTCCCAATCATATAACCATAATGTAAATTTTGGATCTTAGATTGTTATTTAGATTAAAATTTACATTAAGTTTTATATTTTCATTCTGATTGTCAATGGTCTCAATTGTGATTATTTATATACATTGTTTGGTTTACCATTTTCAATGCTCTCATGAAAACACTTTATACTATGGTTTTAGGTTTTGAGTAGTTGTTTTTTTTTTTTTTTTTTTTTTTTGAGACGGAGTCTCGCAGTGTCCCCCAGGCTGGAGTGCAGTGGCGCAAAGTCAGCTCACTGCAACTTCCACCTCCAGGGTTCAAGCGATTCTCCTGCCTCAGCCTCCCTAGTAGCTGGGATTACAGGCGCCTGCTACCATCCAGGCTAATTTTTTTTTTTTTTTTAAGTACAGACAGGGTAGTTTTTAATTATTTTTGAAAATATATCTTTTGAGATCTACCAAGTCTCAGTTAAAGTTTTCATATGAACAATTTGAATGTTAACTTGCCTGTAAGTGAAATTCTTTGAGTTCTTTGTAACTGAAACTTTGTTTATTGTATTCTGAAGTTTACTTTGTGCAGGAGAATCATGGGATCAGTCACATTTTTTTAAAAGTTTATTTGCTAATTTTTGTTTTGCTTTTCTTCTTGGATGCTTTTAGACCTAATTTCTCTCTTGAGTTAAATATTTTTCAAGAATCTTTAAATAAATTAATATCTTAATCTGTATTTGTTTCCTATTACTGTAATGAATTGCCAAAAATGTAGCAGCTTGAAACAACACATATGTTTTCTTTTACAATTCTGGAAAGCAGAAATCCAAAATAAATCTCACTGGGCTGAAATAAAGGTTTGTTGGGAGGGCTTGGCTCCTTCTTGGAAGCTCCAGGGGAGAATCTGTTCTTTGCCTCTTCCAGTTTTTGGCGGCTGCTGGCATTTCTTGGGTTGTGGCTGCATCACTCCAATCTCTGCTTCCCTGGTCAAACTGACTTCCCCACTTCTGTGGTAGACTATCCCATACTCTCCTTTCCCAAGGACACTTGTGATTACATTTAGAACCCACCCAGATAATCCAGGATCATCTCCCCATTTAAAAATCCTTAATTTAATATATCTGCAAAGTCCCTTTTCTGTACAGGGTGACATTTATAGATTTCAGAGATTGGGATGTAAATATCTTGGGGGGGGCATTATTTAGCCTACCCCACTCTTAAATTGATTAGCTTATTTATATGATTTCAGGTGTTGTTTATTTGCTTATCTGTTTGTTTTTAGATCAAGAAATAATTCTGTTTATACTTTTGTTTCTTTTCCTGGAAAATTAATAATACTTAATCATTGGATTGGATTTCAGTTCTTTATCTTTTCACATGTTATTTAACTAGATTTTAATCATTCCCCTTTCTCTGCATTCTGGGTAAGCCTCTCAGATTTATCCTCCATACGACTAACTTGATTTTCTATAATCAAATCCAATTGGGACTACCTCCAATGTGGATTTTTATTATGCCACTCTGATGGTGCCAGGCCCCTCCACCCCGCCTTTCATCTTAACTCAGACAGTTTTCTCCTTAAGGCTTCTTGCTTCTGCTTCATGTAACTCATTTCCTCTTGCATTATTTCAAAGACAACAAGCTGCTGCTTGCTTAGAAAAAATACCTATTTTTCTTATGAAGGTTATTTTCAAAGTTATATTTTTCTTATGACTATTAGGTATAATTTTCTTTTTATTTATGTTCTTGTGGTAATTCACAGATTTATTTTTATTTGCCTTGAATGGGTAGAGTATTTGCCCTCAGGGTAGATACCAGGTCTCACAGCTTCTGTCACTATTTGAGTAGTAGGTGGTTTATCCTCTTAAATCTCAGCCTGAAGCACCAGCCTAAGCTTGATTTGCAATTCGTAGAGTAGTTCTGTAAACTGTACTTGGATCATCTGCTGCCTCAACGCTAAGATTCTCTTGTTCCAACATTCACTTACTATTGGAATTTTCTTAGAACATAAAAAGCTATATACTATCTAATTCCTTTACTTCTTCCCCAGTGCTGCTTCTTGCTTTTTCAATTCTATACTTCTGAACACAACTTTTGGATCAACCTAGTTCTACTTAGGTATAAGAGGGAGAGAAGCCAATGCATGTTGGAGATAGGGCTGTTCACTGTGTTCTGAATTTTTTTTATGTCCTATCTTATTTATGGGATTTATTTTGGTCCAGAATGTGGATTGTTTTGTATATATTACAAGAATGTGTCATGACTTATCAAGCAGAATTCTCATCCAGATTTAGGTCTGTAGTCTTTTCTTCGGTTCACTTCGGGTTATTGCTGAATCCAAGAGTTCTCTAATTGGTGACTGGAAGGAACAATATCATACATATGTTATCTACCACCATTTTAATTCTGAAGCCTCCAAGTGTTTTCTAAACCCCTTTTCTCTTTCCAACAGCAAATAATGTTCAGAGATATTTTCTTCTAGATCATGGAGTAGAACTTCATTAGGTCTTCTGCAACAATCTTGTATACATAAATATTGTGTTTGTCTCCCTTTCTTCTTTCCTTTCTTCCTTCCCTCTCTGCCTCATTCCTCCCCTGGTTCCTTCCTTTCCTCCTTCATTCCACTTGTCCCTCTCCTCATTTAAAAATGAAAACCATTCAGTCCAGAGTGTTTAAAAAGTGTGCCTGACTTTCTCTTAACTACCTACACTTTGTAGTGGGGTAATCGTTAGATCTTTATCTAAAGATTACATTGTTACGTATTACCCCCTTCCTGGCTGTCAGCATCTAGTAAGCAATTGCCCACTGTGGCTTTGCTACACTTGAAATAATGTATTTTCAGTGCCTGTTCTGTGACTCCCACATGTAGTATGAGAAAAACTTCCATCTCTAGCCTGTACTCATGAGTGCTCACATGTCACATAAACAGGTCAGCCACTGATCATTTTCTACCAAACTTGTAAGTGACAGTTTACAATTTACAGATTCTACATATCTAGAAGATACAAAAATAAAGACATCCAAAGGATGTGAATAAAAGTTTACATTTGAGGCCATTCCACAATGTCAAAGTCAGCAGTGATAAGGAAAATATGTTTAAAATATTAATACTATTAAAAAGTGATAGCAATTGAGAAGTAAAACACATGAATTGCTGTGAATCAAAAGAAAAAATGCAAAATGCAACGAATGGGGCTTAAGTTTTAAATCTGCTGAGCTCATAGTACAGCAGCAGAGGACATCAAGATATTCTATTACCTGTGGGAAATAGATACTGGGTATGTTCTCAATATCCTCTCAGGGTAGAAGCCTCTAAGAACCAACGTTGACCTACTTCTGGACAAGGAGACCAAAAGTATGTGTGGAGGAAAAATGAAAAGTCCTTCCACAGAGATAGGTGAACACAGAAGGAAAGAAGAGGGAGGAACAAAACTTAGAAGTACATGCCTGGCTCAAAAGAAGCCTCTAAATCAAAATTTAAAAACATATTGGTAAATCTATAGAAAAGTTATTATAGGCAGTCAATAACTGAGAAGTTATTAGCTACAGAAAAAAATAAAAATGATGGAAGAAACTAAAAATTGAAAAGTGTATGGGAATCTATCTAAACTGTGTATCTGTCATCCATACATCTATCTATCTATCTATCTATCTATCTATCTATCTATCTATCTATCTATCTATCTGCACACACATTTTCCCCCAAGGAATTAGAAAGCAATACAAGTAGTAAAAAAGCTAGAATAGTTGACGGACACGAACTTTCTTCACAACAACGTTCCATTACCCATTCTTTACCTTTCAAGAATTTGAGACATCATTAAGGCAGCAGCAATAGCAGAGAAATAATTCTGATCTGGCATTCCAGGATAAAATATTTTTTTCCCCCTACTTTCTAAGGTATCCAGAAGGAGTTACACAGACAGAAGTTGTGGTTGTTTTTCTGTTTTCTTTTTGGGAAAGGTAGCCCTTTGATAGTTATTTTATTCCTTCCATTTTAATTGCTCTATTTAGATTTTCTAGATATTCTTTATTCCTTTTTTTAAAAAATACAATCTTTTTATTTTGAAATAATTTTTGATCTACAGGAAAATTGTGAAGACAGTACAGAAAATTCTCAGATATTCTCTAACTAGTTCCCCTCAATGCCAACTAACATCTTAAATAACCAAGGTACATTTTCAAAAATAAGAAATTAACGTTAGTACAGTTTTATTAACTAAACCGCAAACTACATTTGGATTTTGTCTATTTTTGCACTAATATCCCTTTTCTGTTCTAGGATCCATTCCAGGATCCTACATTGCATTTAGTCAGCGTGTCTCCCGAGTCTCCTCTGATGTAGAACAGTTGGCTATCTTTCCTTGTTCATGACCTTGACAATTTTGAAAAGTACTGATTAGATATTTTGTAAAATGTCCCTCAATTTGGATTTATCTGATCTTTCACTTAATTAGACTGGGAATATAGGCTTTGGAAAAAATATCACAGAGTGAATACCTTCTAATTATAAGAGAGCACAAGATTTTGAATTTATTTATTAGTCCTACTATTTTGCTCTTTCTGAATTCAAAAATTCAGCTTCGTATCTATATGGGTCTTTTTTTCCAATAATTTCAAATTTCACTTTAAATCTGAGGGTACATGTGCAGATCTGTCATATGGGAACACCATGTGACACTGAGGTTTGGGGCCCAGATGATCCAGTAACCCAGGCAATGAGCATAGCACCCAATAGGCAGACCCTGAGCCCTCTCCTTCCTCCTTCCTCTCTCTAGCAGTCTCCAATGTCCATTGCTCCCATCTTTATGCCCATGTATACTACATGTTTAGCTCCTACTTATAAGTGAGAACATATGGTGTTTTGTTTTCTGTTCCTTCATTACTTGCTTAGGATAATGGCCTCTAGCTGCATCCATGTTGCCACTAAGGGCATGATTTTATATTCTTTTTATGTTTGCATAGTATTCCATGGTATATATGTACCACATTTTTCTTTGTCCAGTCCACTGTTGATGAGAATCTAGGTTGATTCCAAGTCTCTGCTATTGTGAATAGTGCTGTGATAAACATACAAGTACATATGTCTTTTTGGTAGAATGATTTATTTTCCTTTGGGTATATATGCAGTAATGTGATTGCTGGGTGAAATAGTAGGTCTGTTTTACGCCCCTTGAAAAATCTCCACACTGGTTTTCACAGTGGCTGAACTAATTTACGTTCCCACCAACAGTGTATAAGGACTGCCCTTTCTCTGCAGCCTTATAAACATCTGTTATTTTTTGACTTTTCAATAATAGCCATTGTGAATAGTGTGAGATGGTAGGTATCTCATCGTAGTTTTGATTTGCATTTTTCTGATAATTAGTGATGTGGAGCATTTTCTCATAGGCTTGTTGGCTGCTTACATGCCTTCTTTTGAGCAGCTTCAGTTCATATGCTTTGTCCATTTTTTAATGGGGTTGTTTGGTTTTTGCTTGTTGATTTAAGTTTCTTATATATTCTGCATATTAGACCTTTGTCAGATGCATAGTTTGTGAATATTCTTTCCCATTCTGTAGATTGTCTGTTTACTCTGTTGGTAGGTTCTTTTGTTGTGCAAAAGCTCTTTAGTTTAATTAGGTTCAATTTGTCAATTTTTCTTTTTGTTGCAATTGCTTTTCAGGAATTAGCCATAAATTCTTGGTCAAGGCTGATGCTGAGAAGGGTATTTCCCAGGTTTTCTTGTATAATTTTTAGTTTGAGGTCTTACATTTAAACCCTTAACAGATCTTGAGTTAATTTTTGTATATGGTGAAAAGTAGGGGTCCAGTTTTATTCTTCTGCATGTGGCTAGCCAGTTCTCCCAGCACCATTTAATGAATAGGAACTCTTTTTCCCACTGTTTATTTTTGTTGACCTTTTCAAAGATCAGTTTGTTGTGTGAGGCTTTATGTCTGGGTTATCTATTCTGTTCCATCAGCCTATGTGTCTGCTTTTGTACCATTACGAAGCTGCTTTGGTTACTGTAGACTTTTAGTATAGTTTGAAGTCGGGTAATGTGAGTAATGTCATGTCTCTGGCTTTATTCTTTTTGCTTAGGATTGCTTTGGCTATTTGGGGTTCTTTTTTGGTTCCATATGAATTTTAGAATATGAAAAATGACTGGTAGTTGTATAGGAACAGTGTTGAATCTGTAAATTGCTTTGGGCAGTATGATCACTTTAATGCTATTGATTCTTTTGATCCATGAGCATGGAATGTTTTTCTATTTGTTTGTGTTATCTATGACTTCTCTCAGCAATATTCTGTGGTTCTCCTTGTAGAGATCTTTTATCTCTTTGGTTAGATGTATTTCTAGGTATTTTATTTTGCTGTGTGGCTGTTTTGAATTGTATTACATTTTTGATTTGTCTCTCAGCTTGAACAGTATTGGTTTATAGAAATGCTACTGATTTTTGTACATTGATTTTGTATCCTGAAACTTTACTGAAATAGTTCATCAGTTCTAAAAGTCTTTTGGCAGAGTGTCTAGGATATAGTATCAGTAGAGTCATAATGTCAGTGAAGAGAGATAATTTGACTTCTTTTTCTAATTGGATGCCTCTTATTTCTTTCTCTTGCCTGGTTGCTCTAAGACTTCCAGTACCATGCTGAATAGGAGTTATAATCGTGGACATCTTTGTCTTGTTCCTGTTATTAAGAGGAATTACTCCAGTTTTTGCTCATTCAGCATGATGTTGGCTGTGGGTTTGTCATAGATGGCTTTTATTATTTTGAAGTATGTTCCTTCAATGCTTACTTTGTTGAGGGTTTTTATCATAGAAGGATGTTGGATTTTATTGAAAGCTTTCTCTGTGTTTCTTAAGATGATCATAAGGATTTTGTTTTTAATTTGGTTTATGTGGTGAATCACATTTATTGATTTGCATATGTTGAACCAACATTGGATCCCAGGAATAAAGCCTACTTGATTGTGATGAATTACTGTTTATTTATTTAGAGACAGAATCTCACTCTGTTGCCCAGACTGGAGTGCAGTGGTGCTGTTAAAGTTCACCGCAAACTGCACCTCCCAGGTTCAAGCAATTCTCATGTCTCAGCCTCCCAAGTAGCTGGGATTACAGGTGAATGCCACCACGCCTGATGAATTTTTGTGTTTTTGGTAGAGACAAGGTTTCGCCATGTTGGCCAGGCTGGTCTCCAACTCTTGACCTCAGGTGATCCACCTGCCTCAGCCTCCCAAAGTGTTAGGATTACAGGTGTGAGCCACTGTGCCCAGCCTGATTACCTTTAGATGTGCTATTGGATTTCGTTTGCTTGAATTTTGTTGAGGATTTTTGCGTCTACATTCATTGGGAGTATTGGCCTGTAGTTTGTTGTTGTTGTTGTGTCTTTGCCAGGTTTAGGTATCAAGGTGATGCTGACTTTGTAAAAGGAATTAGGGAGAATCCGCTTTTCAACCTTTTGGAATAGTTTCAGTAGAAGTGGTTGCAGTTCTTCTTTGTACATCTGGTAGAATTTGAATCCATCTGGTCCAGGGCTTTGGGTTTTTTTGTTTGTTTGTTTGTTTGAGATTTTTGGTTGCTAAGCTTTTTTTTTTTAAATTACTTATTTAATTTCAGAACTCAATATCAGTCTGTTCAGGGTTTCAATTTCTTCCTGATTCAATCTTGTGAGGTTGTGTGTTTCCAGTAATTTATCAATTTTCTCTAAATTTTCTACTTTGTATGCTTAAAGGTGTTCATATCATTATCTGAGGATCTTTTATATTTCTGTGATATCAGTTGTAATGTCATGTTTGTTGTTTGGGCTATGCTTATTTGGATCTTCTCCCTTTTTCTCTTTGTTTACCTAGTAGTCTATTGATCTTGTTTATTCCTTTAAAGTTTGTTGATTCTTTGTATGAAATTTTCAGTCTCAATTTTGTTCAGTTCTCTTCTGATTTTAGTTATTTAATTTCTAGATGTGGTGTTTGATCTTTAATTTACAACCTTTCTAACTTCTTGATGTAGATATTTATCACTATAAACTTTCCTTTTAACACTGCTTTTGCTGCACACCAACACCTCTGGCTTTTTGTTATGTTGTGTCTCTATTTTTATTTGTTTCAAAGATTTTTTTTATTTCCTCCTAAATTTTATTGTTGATGCAAAAGTGATTCAGGAGCAAGTCATTTGATTTCCATGTAATTGCATGGTTTGAAGAGATCTTTTGGTATTGATTTCTATTTTCTTTCTGCTGTGGTCCAAGAGTATGGTTGGCATGATTTAAATTTTTTTAGTTTATTGAGACTTGCTTTATGCCCAAGCATGTGGTCAATCTTAGAGCATGTTCTGTGTGCAGATGAGAAGAATGTATATTCTATTGGTTGTTGGGTATTCTGTAGATGTCTATTAGGTCCAATTGGTCAAGTGGTGAATTTAAGTTCAGAATTTCTTTGTTAGTTCTCTGCCTTCATGATCTGTCTAAAGCTACATCAGTGGAGTGTTGAAGTCACCCACTATTATTGTGTGGCTAATTCTTTTTGTACATCTAGAAATGCTTGTTTTATGAATCTGAGTGCTCTGATGTTGGGTGTATATTTATATTTAAAATAGCTAAGTGGTCTAGTTGAAGTGATCCTTTTATCATTATTTAATGCCCTTCTTTGTCCCTTTTTACTGTTGTTGGTTTAACATCTGTTCTATCTGATATAAAAATAGTAATCCTGCTCTTTTCTGTTTTCCATTTGCATGATAGATTATTCTACAACCCTTTACATTGAGTCTTTGAGTGTCATTAAAAGTGAGATGGGTCTCCTGAAGATAGGAGTAGAAGGATCTTGTTTTTTTTATTCAACTTGCCACTCTATGCCTTTTAAGTGGGAGGCTTAGACTATTTACATTGAATATTACTATTGATATGTGAGGTTTTGATCCTGTCATGAAGTTGTTACCTGCTGCTTTGTAGTTTCTATTGCATAGTTGCTTTATAGGGTCTGTGGGCTATGTACTTAAGTGTGTTTTTGTAGTAGCAGGTATTTTTCTTTCATTTTCAAGTTTAGAATACCCATAATGATCTGTTGTAGGTCTAGTCTTGTGGTAACAAATTCTCTTAGTAATTGCTCATCTGGAAAATATTTTATTTCTCCGTTGCTAGTGCTTTGGTGGGATATGAAATTCTTCATGGGAATTTCTTTTCTTTGAGAATACCATAAATAAGCTGCCAATCTCTTCTGCTTTGTAAGATTTCTGCTGAGAAGTACATTGGTAGCCTGATGGGGTTTTCCTGATACATAAGTTGACCTTTTTCTCTGTCTTTAAGGTTTTTCTTTAATGTTAACCTTGGATAGTCTGGTAACCATATGCCTTGGTGATGTTTGTTTTGTATAGTATCTTGCAAGTGTTCAATGCTTTTTTTTTTTTTTTAAATCTACATGTCTTCTTCTCTAGCAATATTAGGGAAATTTTTTGAATTATTCCCTCAAATACATTTCCCAGCTTGTTTATTTTTCCCCCTTCTCTCTCAGGAATGCCAATTATTCATAGGTTTGGTCACATTACATAGTCACATGTTTCTTGAATACTTTGTTTTTTATAATTCTTTTTTTTCCTTATTTTTATTTAGTGGTTAGTTGAAAAGACAGGTCTTCAAGCTCTGAATTTTTTTCTTCTTGGTGTAATCTATAGACTAAGCTTTGAATTGTATTTTAAAATTCTTTAAGTGTGTTTTTCAATTCCAGAAGCCCTGATTGATTTCTTTTTAAGATGCTTATCTCTTCCCTCATTTTCTGGATTGATTTAGAAGTTTTTTTGTGTGTTGATTTTCAAACTCGTCTTGGATCTTGTTTAGCTTCTTTGCCATCCATATTTTACATTC
Source organism: Homo sapiens (assembly GCF_000001405.40). Lineage (NCBI taxonomy): Eukaryota > Metazoa > Chordata > Mammalia > Primates > Hominidae > Homo > Homo sapiens. Next base: position 92,050,434 of record NC_000005.10, read on the forward strand.
TCTATCTGTCATTTCTTAGCTTCCATTTTTGTTAGGGACCATTGCTGGAGAGTTAGTGTGATCCTTTGGTGGTGTCACATCATTCAGATTTTTCATGGTGCCAGAATTCCTGTGCTAGTTTCTTTTTGGCTTAAGACACTGGCACTTCTAATTTTTGTACTAATTTTCATGTGGATAGGATGTTTTTTTCTTTTCCTTTCCCACCTCAATAGGGGGTATGACTGTAGAGAATATTAGGTAGAGTCTTTGGCTTCACTTCTATTGTCCTATGTCCTTCTGTTAACAGGCTATGTGTTTGAACCTTTTCAACTGGCATAGATGGCACTTATGGGAAAGAGCAAGCTGAGACCAACATAGATGGATATCTACTTGATCCTGTTTACTGGAAGGAGCTCTCTGTTGCCTCAGGTAATGGGCTAATCTGTGGAGCACACAGTGATCTGAGCTCCCTACTCAAGCCTGGAAGGAGGGGAACATGATAGGTGGGGCCACACAGGGCAGACCCACCTATGGGTCCCCCAGTGGCAAGTACAAGCACCAGTGTTGAGTGGGTCCCACTAGGTGGCCACAAGCACCCAGAAGTGTGCCTAGGTGTAGAGATGGGAAACCACCTTAGCCTCAAGTTCTCTGCATGAGGAGGAGAGGTGGTCTAAATTCCTGCTTCTGGGGAATGGGTGCTCTAGATGCCCAGAAAGCTTTCTGGGCATGGACCATAGGGAGCGCCACTGCATCACAATCTCTATACAAACATGATGGTGTTGCTCAGGCTGCTGATTCAGTTGAGTGAGTGACCTGAATGCCTAGAGTTATGCCTGTGTTAGGAGCTGGGATGGCCCAGCTTCACCATGGTCACTTCATAACAAAGGGTAGGGCAGCTGAGGCCATTGATCCAGGTGAGTGGGAGCGCCAGCTGCCTAGAGATCTGCCTGGATGTGAAGAATAAAGGGCCCCCCTGCATATGATAGCTTTTCGATTCCAACTTACCCCCCAGAGGTAATAGCTCTTATCAAGAGTGGGTCAGTTGAGTATTATTTTAGAAATCATTTGTAGACTTAAACATATATCTTTACTCTTTCAACAATGTTTACAAAAATTCAATTTCCTAAATTAAATTATTTACTAATTAAAATATCTAGAGCCTCTTAATGATGGGAATACAGTTGGCTATCTGATATAATTTGTTTGCAAGGGGCAGCCATCTGATTACTTTTAGAAACAAAAATGTCCTCTTTTATCATTACATATTGAATGCTTTTATCAAAATAGGACATGTAGCTATTAAATGTATACAAGTGTACAAATATTATGTATCCATTACACATTTTCTTGGTATTCACTTTTTCCAGTTTATTGAGAGACTCCAAAGATACATTTTTACATATTTAAGGATGTTAGACATCATTTTTTTTCTCACTTGACATATGGAATCCTCTAAAGTCACCACCTTGTTTATCATTATCACTGAACATAGTCACAGGCTTGAGATTGTGCCAGGCATGCACAACTCTGTTTTTAGTCACTGTGTTCCAAGCATTGGCAACAGAATATATAGCATCCTTCATGCTAAACTCCTTTGAGAACCTTTCACACCCATGCCTTTGTTTACTGCTGCTAGCAGGCATTCAAGAAAGTATTTTTATATTTACTTTTCATTGATCTAAGGATATCCTGGTCACATGGAATTAATGAAGTCACATTTGGGGAAAGTACATGGCATAAATATTATTTTTGATAAAAATTTTACCTGGAGAATGAGCAGAACAGTTGTCAAGGAATTACAAAATCTTATAGTTATCATCCAGTCTGGCTTCCCTGCAGTGAGCATGAGCTGTTGGTACAACACATTTGTGAAACCTATCAGAAAAGATGGCTGTGGAGATTCATGCCTTTTTTAGCATAATTATAAACTGGTAAAAAATTTACTCCTTTAACACAAAGAGGACACAAGCTTATTCCTATCACAGCAGGTTTATGCTTATGTATGCCTGTTGCATTAGCACATCCCAGCAATTATTCTATTCTTGGCGTTCTTAATTCCTAAAAAGGCTCTCTCATGAGCTGTTAATCAGTGTCTTTCTGGGGCAATAATACTGAAACAAAGATGTTTTGTCTGCTGTATAAACTTGTTATGGCATCAGACTTTTATCAGCGACGACCTGGCAAACCTGTCAATGAATCTGCTCCTTTGTGATCAGCAGATGCTTTATCACCACAAATTTTTAAAAATGTAATGCTATTATTTCTTAAATTTCTACAACCATTCTGTTGAATATTCACAGTTCTTTTCAATTTTTAGTTAGTTGTGATAAATGTTTGCTTTTTTTATAATCTGCATACCATTAAGTGTCATGTGTTCACTGTGACAGTAACAGATTCACTATTTTAATACACAATCAAGGTCTTCATTTTTAGCATTATGCAGTGTTTTTCTATTTTTTTACTAACTTCTGTTTATCACTGTCATGATAGAACTTCGAGAATTTATCCTTCTGTTTCTTCTGGTCATATATGTTGGTCATTCTAACACAATACTTTTCCTTACAACATTTCATACTTATACCCCAGTCCAATGTCTCCAACACCTTGATTTTCTGTACTATAGATGAATATAAATGCTTCCTCTTTTTCTTATCATTGTTACTCATAAGGGTATCTGTGGGCCTTTTTGATATTTTCAACAATATCTTTATACCACAAGCAAAAAAAAAATGCATGAAGTAATTCATGTAGGACTTAGCCCCACGTAGGGCATCATGGGAACCGTCTGTTGGCATATCCAGCCTGGACATCTGCCATATTATTACCTTTTGTGAGAGTGCTCATGTGGAGGAATCTGGGCATTCAAGTAAAAGATACATTGCAGCTTAAGGGGTCTGGGAAGGTCTTTTTTTCCCTTGGGAATGTTGAATAAATTGTTTGTTGTGTGCATGCATTCTGACTGCCACCTGTAACATGAGGTCAGATGTGGAATTTTCTATTTGTTATGTGATGTCAGTGCTCAAAAAGTTTCAGCTGTGGAGCATTTTGGACTTCTGATTTTCAGATTAGAAATGCTCAATATCTATCAAACAAAACCATAAGCAGAATTACAGATTAAAAAAGAAAAACAGAATTAACAGTAAAAAATGCTTTCAAAATAAAAAGGATAACTTTAACTTATATATATTAGAAATGGACAGATCAAGCATATAAAACCAGAAAGGCTAGAGATGTGGGCATGGTAGCTCACACCTATAATCCCAGCAGTTTTGGAGGCCAGCCAAGGTGGGAGGATCACTTGAGCCCAGGACTTCAAGGCCAGCCTGGACAACATTGTAACATCCCATTTCTAAAAAAGTTAAAAATTTTTTGATGGGGTTGTTTGTTTTTTTCTTGTAAATTTGTTTGAGTTCATTGTAGATGCTGGATATTAGCCCTTTGTCAGATGAGTAGGTTGCGAAAATTTTCTCCCATGTTGTAGGTTGCCTGTTCACTCTGATGGTAGTTTCTTTTGCTGTGCAGAAGCTCTTTAGTTTAATTAGATCCCATTTGTCAATTTTGGCTTTTGTTGCCATTGCTTTTGGTGTTTTGGACATGAAGCCCTTGCCCACGCCTATGTCCTGAATGGTAGTGCCTAGGTTTTCTTCTAGGGTTTTTATGGTTTTAGGTCTAACGTTTAAATCTTTAATCCATCTTGAATTGATTTTTGTATAAGGTGTAAGGAAGGGATCCAGTTTCAGCTTTCTACATATGGCTAGCCAGTTTTCCCAGCACCATTTATTAAATAGGGAATCCTTTCCCCATTGCTTGTTTTTCTCAGGTTTGTCAAAAATCAGATAGTTGTAGGTAAGCGGCGTTATTTCTGAGGGCTCTGTTCTGTTCCATTGATCTATATCTCTGTTTTGGTACCAGTGGGCGAAGGACATGAACAGACACTTCTCAAAAGAAGACATTTATGCAGCCAAAAAACACATGAAAAAATGGTCATCATCACTGGCCATCAGAGAAATGCAAATCAAAACCACTATGAGATATCATCTCACACCAGTTAGAATGGCAATCATTAAAAAGTCAGGAAACAACAGGTGCTGGAGGGGATGTGGAGAAATAGGAACACTTTTACACTTTTGGTGGGACTGTAAACTAGTTCAACCCTTGTGGAAGTCAGTGTGGCGATTCCTCAGGGATCTAGAACTAGAAATACCATTTGACCCAGCCATCCCATTACTGGGTATATACCCAAAGGACTATAAATCACGCTGCTATAAAGACACATGCACACGTATGTTTATTGCGGCATTATTCACAATAGCAAAGACTTGGAACCAACCCAAATGTCCAACAATGATAGACTGGATTAAGAAAATGTGGCACATATACACCATGGAATACTATGCAGCCATAAAAAATGATGAGTTCATGTCCTTTATAGGGACATGGATGAAATTGGAAACCATCATTCTCAGTAAACTATCGCAAGAACAAAAAACCAAACACCGCATATTCTCACTCATAGGTGGGAATTGAACAATGAGATCACATGGACACAGGAAGGGGAATATCACACTCTGGGGACTGTGGTGGGGAGCGGGGAGGGGGGAGGGATAGCATTGGGAGATATACCTAATGCTAGATGACGAGTTAGTGGGTGCAGTGCACCAGCATGGCACATGTATACATATGTAACTAACCTGCACAATGTGCACATGTACCCTAAAACTTAAAGTATAATTAAAAAAAAAAAAGTTAAAAATTTAAAAAGTAGACAATATTTGAGCAAAACCATTAGAAACAGAAAGAGGAGAAAAAAATGGAAAACTCTTCACCAAACTGAGACAGTACATTATTTTTAAGCAACTATATAGTATTTCTAAAAAATAGCAGCATAATACATTGCAAAAGAAAAATGAAAATTTAAAAACAATGACAACTCACACAATTTTCTTGTCCAACATTATTTAATTAGAATGAGTTAGATTTAAATAAGAGGGATTATTTTCAGTAAGAATAATGTTATAATAATAGGAAATTGATAGAAGATTAGTTACAGTGATAATATTTACACTGATAACTTACAAAGAGCCCAGAAGCAGACTTTTTTTTTTTTTTTTTTTTGAGACGGAGTCTCGCTCTGTCCCCCAGGCTGGAGTGCAGTGGCGCCATCTCGGCTCACTGCAAGCTCCGCCTCCTGGGTTCACCACCATTCTCCTGCCTCAGCCTCCCGAGTAGCTGGGACTACAGGCGCCCGCCACCACGCCTGGCTGATTTTTTGTATTTTTTAGTAGAGACGTGGTTTCACCGTATTAGCCAGGATGGTCTCGATCTCCTGACCTCGTGATCCGCCCACCTCGGCCTCCCAAAGTGCTGGGATTACAGGCTTGAGCCACTGCGCCCGGCCCCAGAAGCTGACTTTTTAACTCCATTTAATGGATCAGAAATCTGAGTATAAAATAGGTGAAATAACTTGCCTAAAGTCACACAGGCAGAAATTAAACCTATATCTGTTGACTTCTGAATTTTTTCACCATAGAAGCATAAGCACGTTAATAGATTGAGAATTTTAAAACTACAATTTTTAAATTAATAAACTTCATAAAGAGTTTAAGGTTCACAGTAAAATTGGGCAGGAAATACACAGAGTACAAATATAGCTCCTGTCCCCACACATGCACAGCCTCCCTAGTTGTGCATATCAACATCCTGCACCACCGTAGTACGTATTTTGTAATAGATGAACCTACGTTGATTCATCTCCATACATTACATTAGAGTTCACTGTTAGTGCTATGCATCCTATGGGTTTTGATAAATGTATAATAACATGTATTCACCACTGTAATAGCATACAGAATAGATTCACTGCCTTAAATCCTGTGTGCTTTCCCTATTTATCACTCCTTCCCTGCTAACTGCTAGAAACCACCGACCTTTTTACTGTCTCCATAATTTTTCCTTTTCCAGAAGCTCATATAGGTGGAATCATATATATGTAACCTTTTCACTTTGGCTTCTTTCACTTATAAGATGCATTTAAGTTTCTTTCATGTCTTCCATGGCGTCATAGCTCATATTTTTTTAGTTCTGAATAATATTCCATTGTCAGATGTACCGCAGTTTATCCTTTCACCTTCTGAAGAACATTTTGGTTCCAAGTTTTGTCAATTATAAATAAGGCCGCTATAAACATTCATGTGCAAGTTTTTATGGGCCGTAAATTTTCAATTCATTTGGGTAAACAGCAAGGAGTGTAATTGTTGTATCATATTGTAAGACTATGTTTAGTTTTGTAAGAAACTGCCAAACTCTTTTCCAAAGTGGTTGTATCATTTTGCATTCCCACAAGAAATAAATGAGAGTTCCTGCTGTACCTCATCCTTTCTAGCATTTGGTGTTGTCAGTGTTCTGGATTTTGGCCATTCTAAAAGGTGAATAGTGATATCTCATTTTTTTTTATTATACTTTAAGTTCTAGGGTACATGTGCACAATGTGCAGGTTTGTTACATATGTATACATGTGCCATGTTGGTGTGCTGCACCCATTAACTCATCATTTACATTAGGTGTATCTCCTCATGCTATCCCTCCCCCCTCCCCCCATCCCACAACAGGCCCTGGTGTGGGATGTTCCCCACCCTGTGTCCAAGTGTTTTCATTGTTCAATTCCTATACTATGCAGACATGAAAAAGGATGAATTCATGTCCTTTATAGGGACATGGATGAAGCTGGAAACCATCATTCTCAGCAAACTATTGCAAGGACAAAAAACCAAACACCGCATGTTCTCACTCATTATTGTTTTAATTTGCATTTCCCAGATGACATATGATGTGGAACTTCGTTTTATATACTTATTTCCAATCTGTATACCTTCTTTGGTGAGGTGTCTGATCAGGTCTTTGGTTATTTTATTAATAAGTTGTTCGTTTTCTTATTAAAGTTTTAAATGTTATTTTGCATATTTTGGATAATAGTCTTTTGTGGGTCTCTTGAAAATATTTTTTCAGTCTGGTTTATCCTTCAATTCTCTTCAAAATATCTTTTACACAGCAGAAGTTTTCAGTTTTAAGAAGGCCCAACTTATTCTTGCTTTCATGGATTGTGCCTTTAATATATATATAAAATGTCATAGCCATACCTGAGATCATATAGATTGTCTCCTATATTATACAGCTTTGCATTTTACATTTAGGTTTATGACTCATTTTGAATTAATTTTTGTGAATGGTGTAGATTCTTTGTCTACATTTTTTTGAATGTGAATTTTCAGTTGTTTTAGCACTATTTATTGAAAAGATTACCTTTGCTCCATCATACTGCCTTTGCTCTTTTGTCAAAGATCAGTAGGCTACATGTGGGTCTATTTCTGAGGTCTCTACTCTGTTCATGGATCTATGTGTTCATTTATTTGCCAGAATGCCATTTCCTTGAATACTGCAGCTTTACATTATGTATTGAAGTCAGTCAGTCATCTGTTCATCTCTTTCAATATTGAATTTGCTCTTCTGATCTTTTGCCTCTTTATATAAATTTTAGAATCAGTTTTTGATATCCACAAAATAACCTGCTAAGATATTGATTGGAATTGAATAGAATCAAGAGATATAGTTGGAAAACACTGACATCTGGACAATTTTGAGTCTTACTATCCTTCAACATGGAATAATTTCTATTTATTTCTTCTACCATTTTTCATCAGATTTTGTAGTTTTCCTCATATAGATCTTATACTGTATTTTTAGATTTATATCAAATTATTAGATATTTTGGGTGCTAATGTAAATAGTATAGTGTTTTTAATTTCAATTTGCACTTGGCCTTTACTGACATATAGGAAAGTGGTTGGCTTTTATATATTAATATGTATTTTGTAAACTTGCTATAATGACTTATTAGTTTCAGAAGGTCTTTTGTTGATTATTTTGAATTTTTACATTCATGTACATGTCATGTGAGAGAAAAAGATAACTTTATTTCTTCCTTCCCAATCAGTATAACTTTCCTTTTTGGTCTTATTGAATTAGTTAGGAATTCCAGTATGATGTTGAAAAACAGTGATGAGAGGAAATACCTTGATCCTGATATTAGTGGGAAAGCTTCAAGTTTTCACCATTAAATACGATGCTAGCTGTAGGTAATTTGAAGATGTTCTCCAAGTTGAGGAAGTTCCCTTCTATTCCTAGTTATGATAGTAAATTGGTGTTAGATTTTGTCAAATGCTTTTTCTGCATCCATTGATATAGTCATGTGATTTTTCTCTTAACCTGTGGACATGGTGGATTACATTAATTGACTTTAAACAATCACTTTCAGCTCAAAACTGGATGTTAGCATTTTAAAAAGATACTTTTGCTAAATTAAAAATAAACGCTAATTCCTTGTTGATATTCAAACCCTTTGGAGGTGACAAATTTCAGAGAGGAACGGTTTGTAGGTTTTTTTGTTTTGTTTTAATCTTTAATTTTTGTGGGCACATAGTAGGTGTATATATTTATGGGCTATATGAGATATTTTGGCACAGGCATGCAATGTGCAATAATCAAATCATGGAAAGTTGGGTATCCATCTCCTCAAGAATTTATGCTTTGTGTTACAATCAAATTATACTCTTTTAGTTACTTTAAAATGTGCATTATTGACTATAGTCATACTGTTGTGCTATCAAATACTAGGTCTTATTCTTTCTAACTCTTTTTTTGTTTTTAACCCATTAACCATCCCCACCTCTACTGATCTTCCCACCCTTTGTAGCCTTTGGTAACCAACTTTTTACTCTATATCTCCATGAGTTCAGTTGTTTTGATTTTTATCTCCTACAAATAAGTGAAACTATGCTATGTTTGTCTTTCTGTGACTGGGGTATTTTATTTAACATAATGTCTTCCATTTTCATCCATGTTGTTGCAAATGACAATATCTCATTCTTTTTTATGGCTGAATAGTACTCCATTATGTATATGTACTACATTTTATTTATCCATTTATCTGTTGGTACACACTTAGGTTGCTTCCACATCTTGGCTATTGTGAACAGTGCTGCAACAAATATGGAGTGCAGATATCTCTTCAATATACTGATTTCTTTACTTTTGGGTATATATCCAGGAATGGTATTGCTGGATCATATGGTACCTCTATTTTTAGCTTTCTGAAGAACCTCCAAACTGTTCTCCATAGTGGTTGTACTAATTTAAATTCTGACCAAGAGTATATGAAGGTTCCGCTTTCTCCACGTCCTCACCAGCATTTGCTAGAGCCTGACATTTGGATAAAAGCCATTTTAACTGGGGTGAGATAATATGTCATTGTAGTTTTGATTTGCATTTCTTTGATGATTAATGATGTTGAGCACCTTTTCATATGCCTGGTTGCCATTTGTACATCATCTTTTGAGAAATGTCCATTCAACTCTTTTGCCCATTTTCTGATCGGATTCAATTTTTTTCTATAGAGTTGTTTGAACTTCTTATATATTCTGGTTATTAATCCCTTGTCAGATGGGTAGTTTGTAAATATTTTCTCCCATTCTGTGGGTTGTCTGTCCTGTGGGTTGTCTCTTCACTTTGTTGATTTTTTTCCTTTGCTGTACAGAAACTTTTTGCCTTAATATGATCTCATTTGTCCATTTTTATATTTTTTTTGTGTGTGTGTGTTTAGCTTTCTTAGTCACCCATTTTTTTGAATTAATTTTTGTGAATGGTGTAGATTCTTTGTCTAGAGCTCTGGCATTGGCAAATTAATCATGATGTTTCTAGAAGTGAAATAGATAGGAAGCCTACTGCATTCTTACCTAATTTGTATAAGCAGAAAACTTCTAGGTCGAGTGGAAAAAATACTAATTTGAATTATAAAAATAGAGAATCATGGGCCCTCAATCAATTTCCAGACTTGAATCAGTTTACAGTTTACAGACCCAGAACCCCTTGTGTGAAGGTGTCAGAGATGTGTGAACCAAAGTAACTCCATCTTAAATATTCGCTGGGTAAAATGAGACTGAAACATACTGGGCAGCATTCCCAGATGGTTAAGGCATTCGAAGGAAAAGGATGAGATATGAGGTCAGCACAAAGTAAAGGTCATAAAGACCTTGCTGATAAAACAGCTTGCAGTAAAGGAGCCAGCCAAAACCCACCAAAACCAAAATGGTGACAAGAGTGACCTCTGGTCGTCATCACTGCTACACTCCGGAGCACCAGTGCCATGACATTTTACAAATGCCATGGCAATGTCAAGAAGTTACCCTATATGGTCTAAAAACGGGAGGCATGAATAATCCACCTCTTGTTTAGCATATCGTCAAGAAATAACCATAAAAATGGGCAACCAGCAGGCTTCAGGGCTGCTCTTTCTATGGAGTGGCCATTCTTTTATTCCTTTACTTTTTTAATAAATTTGCTTTTGCTTTGCACTGTGGACTCACCCTAAATTCTTTCTTGCATGAGACTCAAGAACCCTCTCTTGAGGTCTGGATTGGGACCGCTTTCCTGTAACAAAGGGAGGCTAGGTCCCCTTGAGGAAGGACCCCACTACCGACAGTTTATACTGTTAATCCTCCTCTCATCCTTCCCAAAGGAGACATCTGGCCTCTTAACCAGGGTAACTGTGCACTGGGGAAAGGGAAATAATCAGACCTTTCAAGGACTACTGGACACTGACTCTGAGCTGACGTTTGATTCTAAGGGATGCAAAACATCATTGTGGTCCTCTAGTTAAAGTAGGGGCTTTTGGAAGTCAGGTAATTGAGTTTCAACTCAGGTCCAACTTACACTGGGGCCAGTGGGTCCCTGGGCTCATGCTGTGGTCACTTCCTCCAGTGCCAGAATGCATAATTAGCATAGACATACTTAGCAGCTGGGCAGAACCCCACATTGGCTCCATGACTGGTAGGGTCATGGCTATTATTGTGGAAAAAGCCAAATGGAAGCCGTCAGTACTGCCTCGACCTGGAAAAATAGTAAATCAAAAGCAATATCACATCTATGGAGGGATTGCAGAGATTAGTGCCACCATAAAGGACTTGAAAGACACATAGGTGGTGATTCCCACCACATCCCTGTTCAACTCTCCTATTTGGCCTGTGCAGAAGACAGATCTTGGAGGATGACAGTGGATTATTGTAAGCTAATCCAAGTGGTTACTCCAATTGTAGCTGCTGTACCAGATGTGGATTCATCGCTTGAGCAAATTAACACATCTACTGGTACCTGGTTTATAGCCATTGATTTGGTGAATGCTTTTTTCTTCATTCCTGTCCATAAGGCCCACCAGAAGCAATTTGCCTTCAGATGGCAAGGCCAGCAATATACCTTCACTGTCCTACCTTAGGGGTATATCAACTCTCTGGCTTTGTGTCATAATCTTTTTTGCAGAGATTTTGATCACGTTTCCTTTCCACAAGATATCACGCTGGTTCATTACACTGATGACATTATGCTGATTGGATCCAGTAAGTGAGAAGTAGCAAACACACTGGACTTATTGGTGACACATTTGCATGCCAGGGCATTGGAAATAATTCCAACTGAAATTCAGGGACCTTCTATCTCAGTAAAATTCTGGGGGTCCAGAGATGTGGGACCTGTCAAGATATTCCTTCTAAGGTGAAGGATAAATTGCTGCATTTGGCTCCTCCTACAACCAAGAAAGAGGCACAACGCCTAGTGGACCTATTTGGATTTTAGAGGCAGCATATTCCTCATTTGGGTGTGTTATTAAAGCCCATTTATCAAGTGACCCAAAAGGATGCCAGTTTCGAGTGGGGTCCAGAACAGAAGAAGGCTCTGCAACAGGTCCTCTGCTGTGGCAGTGCAAGCTGCTCTGCCACTTGGGCCATATAACTCAGCAGATCCAATGGTTCTTGATGTGTCAGTGGCAGATAGGGATGCTATTTGGAGCCTTTGACAGGCCCCCATAGGTGAATCACAGTGGAGGTCTCTAAGATTTTGGAGCAAGATCCTGCCATCTTCTGCAGATAACTACTCTCCTTTTGTGAGACAGCTCTTGACTTGTTACTGGGCTTTGGTGGAAGGAACGTTTGACTATGGGTCATCAAGTCAGCATATGACATGAACTGCATGTCATGAACTGGGTGCTTTCTGACCCACCTAGCCATAAAGTTGGCCATGCACAGCAGCATTCCATCATCCAATGGAAGTGGTATACATATGATCTGGCTCGAGCAGGTCTTGAGGGCACTAGTAAATTACATGAGGAAGTGGCTCAAATGTCCATGGTCCCCACTCGTGCTACCATACCTTCTCCCCCCAGTCTGCATGGATGGCCTCATGGAGAATTCCCTATGATCAACTGACAGAGAAAAGAAGACTAGGGCCTAGTTTACAGATGGCTCTGCATGATCTGCAGGCACCACCTGATAGTGGACAGCTGCAGCACTACAGCCCCTGTCTAGGGCATTCCTGTAGGACAGTGGCAAGGCAAAATCTTCTCAGTGGGCAGAACTTCGAGCAGTGCACCTGGTTGTACACTTTGCTTGGAAGGAGAAATGGTCAGATATGCGGTTATATACTGATTCATGGACTGGAGCTAATTGTTTTGCTGTATGGTCAGGGACGTGGAAGAACCATGAGTTGAAAATTGGTGACAAAGAAATTTGGGGAAGAGTTATATGAACGGACCTCTCTGAGTGTTCGAAAACTGTGAAGATGTTTGTATCTCATGTGAGTGCTCACCAAAGAGTGACCTCAGCAGAGGAGGATTTTAATAATCAAGTGGATAGAATATTTGTTCTTTGGACACCACTCAGCCTCTTTCCTCAGCCAACCCTGTCATCACGTAATGGGCTCATGATCAAAGTAGCCATGGTGGCAGGGATGGAGGTTACACATGGGCTCAGCAACATGGACTTTCATTCACCAAGCTGACCTGGCTACGACCACCTCTGAGTGCCCAATTTGCCAGCAGCAGAAACCAACACTGAGCCCTCAATATGACACCATTCCTCAGGGTGATCAACTAACTACTTGCTGGCAGGTTGGTTATATTTGACCACTTCCATCATGGAAAGGGCAGAGGTTTGTTCTCACTGGAATAGACACTTACTCTGGATATGGTTTTGCCTATCCCGCATGCAATGCTTCTGCCAAGACTATCATCCGTGGATGCACAGAATGCCTTATCCACTGTCATTGGTATTCCACATAGCATTGCCTCTGACCAAGGCACTCACATTACGGCTAAAGAAGTGCAGTGGTGGGCTCATGCTCATGGAATTCCCTGGTCTTACCATGTTCCCCATCATCTTGAAGCAGCTGGATTGATAGATTGGTGGAATGGCCTTTTGAAGTTAAAATTACAATGCCAACTAGGTGACAATAGTTAGCAGGACTGAGATTAAGTTCTCCAGAAGGCCATATATTCTCTGAATCAGTGTCCAATATATGGTACTGTTTCTCCCATGGATCAAGGAATCAAGGGGTGGAAGTGGAAGTGACACCACTCATCATCACCCCTAGTGACCCACTAGCAAAATTTTTGCTTCCTGTTCCCACAACATTACATTCTACTTACCTAGAGTCTTAGTTCAAGAGGGAAGAATGCTGCCACCAGTAGACACAACAATGATTCCATTTAACTGGAAGTTAAGATTGCCACTTGGCCACTTTGGGCTCCTCTTATCTCTAAGTCAACAGGCTAAGAAGAGAGTTACAGCGTTGGATGAGGTGATTGACCCAGACTATCAAGATGAAATGAATCTACTACTCCACAATGGAGGTAAGGAAGAGTATGTATGAAATACAGGCGATCCCTTAGGACATCTCTTAGTATTACCACGTCCTGTGATTAAGGTCAATGAGAAACTACAACAACTCAACCCACGCAGAATTACAAATGGCCAGACCCTTCAGGAATGAAGGTTTGGGTCACCCCACCAGGTAAAAAACCATGACCAGCTGAGAAGGTGTTTGCTGTAGGCAAAGGGAATACAGAATGTGTAGTAGAAGAAGGTAGTCATCAATTCCAGCTACAACCATGTAACCAGTTGCAGAAATGAGGACTGTAATTGTCATGAGTATTTCCTCCTTATTTTGTTAAGAACGTGTTTGTGCATTTATACACTTGTACTAAGAGAATATCTTTATTTTATTTCCTTTTTTTCTTTATCATGTGACATAAGATTTATTTACTTCATATCAGCATTTTAATGTTGTTAACTTTATGTAATAGCATTTAAGTTAAGGATCGGTGTGCTTCCAGTAGTACAAAGGAAAGCTGTATTATGTTAGGCATAATTATGACCTTATTATTGTCTTTATTTGAAGATTATGTATGATTTCAGGAGATGTGTATGGGCTTAAGTTGACAATGGGTGGACTTGTGATGATTAATATTGAGTGTCAAGTTGATTGAATTGAAAGATGCAATGTATCGTTCCTTCATGTGTCCGTGAGGGTGTTGCCAAAGGAGACTAACATTTAAGTGAGTGGACTGTGAGAGGCAGACCCACTCTCAATCGGGGTGGGCACCATCTAATTAGCTGCCAGTGCAGCTAGAATAAAGTGAGCAGAAGAAGATCAAAAAAGCAGACTTGCTGAGTCTTCTGGCCTTCATCTTTCTCCTGTGGTGGATGTTTCCTGCCCTCAAATATTGAACTCCAAGTTCTTAAGCTTTTGGACTCTTGTACATACACCAGTGGTTTGCCAGGGGCTCTTGGGTCTTTAGCCACAGACTGCAGGCTGCACTGTCAGCTTCCCTACTTTTGTGGTTTTGAGACTCAGACTAGCTTCCTTGTTCCTCAGCTTGCAGATGACCTATTGTGGCAGTTCACCTTGTGATCAGGTGAGTCAGTACTCCTTAATAAACTCCTCTTTACATATACATCTATCCTATTAGTGTTGTACTTCTAGAGAACCGTGACTAATACAGTTTGGATATTTGTTCCCTCCAAATCTCATGTTGAAATATAATTCCCATTGTTAGAGGTGGGTCCTGGTGGAGATGCTTAAATCATGTGTGCAGATATCTCATGAATGGCTTAGTGCCATCCCCTTGGTGATGAATGAGTTCATAAAAGATCTCATTGTTTAAAAGTGTGTGGCACCTCCATGCTCCCTCTCTGTCTTCCACTCTCACTATGTGATGTGTCCATTCTCTCTTTGTGTTCTGCCATGATTGTAAGGTTCCTGAGGCCTTTCCCAGAAGCAAATACTGAAGTCATGCTGTTACAGCCTACAGAGCAGTAAGCCAATTAAACCTCTTTTCTTTACAGATCACACAGCCTCTGTTATTTCTTTATAGAACTGTAAGAATGGCCTAATACAGGAAATTGATACTGGGTGTGGAAAGTTTCTATACAGATAACTGAAAATGTGGAAGCAGATTTGGAACTGGGCAGCAGGCAGATGTTGAAAGAGCTTGGAGTTCTCAGAAGACAGAAAGATGAGGGAAAGTTTGGATCTTTTGAGACTAGTTAAATGGTTTTGACCAAAATACTGATAGTGATACAGACAATGAAGTTCAGGCTGATGAGGTCTCAGATGAAAATTAATGTATTGGAACTGGAACAAAGGCCACACATGTTATGCCTTAGCAAGAGCTTCGCTTCATTGTATTCATGCCTTATGGATCTGAGAAAGTTTGAATTTAAAAGTGATGACCTAGGGTATCTGGCAGAAGAAATTTCTAAGCAGCAAAGTATTCAAGATGTTGCCTAGAGTGTAAAACTTTGGAAAAGTTACAGCCTAGCCATGTTGTAGAAAAGAAAAGCCCATTTTCTGGTGAAGAATCCAAGCAGGCTGTGGAGAAACCACTTGCTTGAGAGATTAGCATGACTAAAAGGGATTACAGTGCTAATCTCCAAGACAATGAAATAGAGGCCTCAAAGGCATTTCAGAGATCTTTGAGGCAGCCCCTCTTATCACAGGCTCAGAGGTCTAGGAGGAAAGAATGGTTTCCGAGGCTAGGCCCAGGGATCTGCTGCCCAGTGCAGCCTTGGGACAGTGCTCCCTGAATCCAGGCTACTTTGACTGCAGCCTCAGGTCAAAGGGCCCCAGATATAGCTCAGGCCACAGCTCTGGAAGGTGCAAGCCATAAGCCTTGGTAATGTCTGCATGGTGTTAAGCCTACAGGCATGCAGATTGCAAAAGGGAAGGAGAGTTGGCAGCTTCTCCCTAGATTTTGGAGGATGCATGAGAAAGCCTGGGTGCCCAGACACAAAGATTGCTGTAGGGGCAGAGCCTCTGCAGAGAAGCTCTACTAGTGCAGTGAGGAGGGGAATGTGGAGGTGGAGCCCCCACATAGAGTCCATACCAGGGCACTGCCTATTGGAGCTGTGGGAATAGGGCTGCCACCTTCCAGACACTATAATGGTAGATCCACCAAGAGCTTGCATTCTGTGCCTAGAAAAGTCACAGTTGCTCAACTCCAACTTGTAAAAGCAGCCACAGGGACTGCTCCCTGCAGTGCCACAGGGGCAGAGTCATCCAAGGCCTTGGAAGTCCACCCCTTGTATCAGTGTGCTCTGGATGTGGGACATGGAGTAAAAGGAGATTATTTTGGAGTTTTGAGATATAATGACTACCTATTGTGTTTCAGACTTGCATGGAAACTGTAGCCTCTTTCTTTTTCCTGACTTCTCCCTTTTGGAATTGGAATGTCTACCCAATGCCTATACCCCCATTGTATCTTGAAAGTAAATAATTTGTTTTAATTTTACAGGCTCATAAGTGGAAGGAGATGAGTCTCAGATGAGACTTAGAACTTTATATTTGATGCTGGAATGAGTTAAAGCTTTTTAAAGACTGTTGGCACAGGATAATTATATTTTGCAGTGTGAGAAAGACATAAGATTTTTAGGAGTTAGAGGCAGAATTATATGTTTTAGATACTTGTCTTCTTCATATCTCATGTTGACTTCTGGTTTCTGGCCCAGTATATTTCAAAATGGTCACTGTTGCCCTCTCCTTGCCTGAGGTGGGAAGGAATTTTTCTCAGATATTCACTGTGAGCACCTGGTAGAGCTCCTGGAAGTAACACCTACACAAGTGTGAGGGCCTCCCTATGACTGGGTCCCCTGGAATTTTTAACTCTCAAAATTGTCTACACTGAGCCTCCATCATTTCATCACTTATTCCTAACCTAGCACTGATTCTCACAGATGTTTCAGCTCTAGAAATATGTGATTCTCTATATTTGCCTGTCTCTCCAATTTTGGGAGTAGGGCCTTGCCCTGTGATCTCACTTCAAAAAGAGAAGGAGTTGTTGAGTTTTCACTTTGTTTAACTTTTTTTTTTTTTTTTTTTTTTTTTTTTAGGTTGTACTTCTAAGCTCCTTTCATGCTGGGCCAGAAACCAGAAGTCTCAAAAGTAAACTATTTAATAAGACAAAAGACAGAATAAATTCATTAATTAATCAAATAATTCACTAATCCCTCCATTTTAAGTTCATGAAAATGAATTTGACTAAGAAATACACTTTTAAGGCCAGGCACGGTGGCTCATGCCTGTAATCCTAGCACTTTGGGAGGCTGAGGCAGGTGGATCACCTGAGGTCAAGAGTTTGAGACCAGCCTGGCCAACATGGTGAAACCTCATCTCTACCAAAAATACAAACGAAATATTAGCCAGGCTCAGTGGCAGGCACCTGTAATCCCAGCTACTCAGGAGGCCAAGGCAGGAGAATTGCCTGAACCCAGGAGGTGGAGGCTGCAGTGAGCGAGATTGTGCCATTGCACTCCCGTGTGGGCAACAGAGCAAAAACAAACAAACAAACAAACAAATATATATATATATATATTTGGAAATAGAGATTCTTATCTTTGTAGTAACTTTCAGAGGCACCTAAAAGTATATTTTAAAAGTATATATATATATATATATATATATATATACTTTAAAAATATATATATATATATACTTTTAAAGTATACTTTTAGGTGCCTCTGAAAAGTATATATAGATATACTTTTAAAATTGTGCCTAACCAATGTCTTTTACAGGTGGGTATTTTTTCCCATTGAGTTGACTCATTTTATTTTCTACCTGAATAATTCTTCTAAATCTTTCTGGGTTAGCCATTCCAATCAAAATCCTAAGGACACACAAGACTCTTCACCAAAGTGCCTAGAGTATCTTCAGACACCAATTATGTCCAATGCAAAACTTCCAGTTTTATTCCTTATAAGTTTGTCCAAGTGAATCTCAGATTTTTAAGAATATATGGCATAGACTTTCAAATTGCGTATATTCCATATACCATCATGTTGATCAGCTCATATCAAGTATGACGATGAACAAAAGAATGCCAGAGTTGAAATAAATAACACTGAAATATGGGTGGAAAGAGCCAATAGTCACTTCGTTAATTTTCACTACAGCTAAACTTTTTGGCTCATTGTTTTCTGTACACATTAAATAGTATTGGATCATTTGTCCGAATCACTTCACAGTGAATGAAAGAAAGTTTTTATCTCTTATTTTCTGTAAATTGTCATTGGGAATCTTGCCAGTCAAATTTCCTAAATCCTGGTTGTTGAAGTTATTTGGCTTTTTTATTTCTGCCTAAAGTTTCAAATATATTATTCCTTTATTTATAATAGTGTTTTGGAGACAGAAAGTAATAACATTTAGCTTTACCTTATTGTGGTAATTTCATTATCTCTAATTTTTGTATTATTCTGACTTTTTGGTTTGGCTTTTCTGAAAAGGAAAACAGAAAACTTTGTTCCAGCATCAACAGTATAAAAGTGCACCGATTTCCATTTCAACAAGCATTTCTCCACATAATGATATATTTTCAAGAAATTCTCAGTGATTCTGACTTATATGTGAGTTAAAACTAATAAAATTTAAAGTTATAGAAGTCAAAGTTACTGAGTGATTCTTTCCTTTTTTATGTGCCTCTGAAAGTTACTACAAAGATAAGAATCACTAATCCAGTGAAATTTTAACTTGTGTTCCTAGATTAATATTTTAATACTGCCTTACCAAATGCAATCTGCTTTTCCGTGTTGCTTAGTGTCACCATTTAAATATAGATTATGGCATTAGAAATAAGATATGTTTGAGATTCCCTGGTAATGTTCATTTGTAGGAAATACAGAAAACTAGAAGTTACCTTTCATCAGGAGGTTAGATTATTGTTCTGTTTTCTTTTTTTCCCCTTTAATAGATTGTAACTCTAATAGTTAAGACACAGCAGGGGACAAACATTTCAGTCTTAAATTTCTAAACTTTATTATGTTCATTACTCATGAGTTGAAAGCATTACTAAGCAGAGAATACATGATTCAAGTTAAAATCTTTTGTAAAATTAAATTTATATAGTTATTAGTTTTTTATATATAAGTCCAATGTGATTATCACTTAATTTTTGTATCCTTTCTTATCAGTATTATAAAAGTGGTCCTTATTGATCATTAATGCCAGCCACATTTGGTGTTCAAATTAGAGACATAATTTTGACTTTTTCATACTCAATTTTTTTGTGTATCCCTATCATTCAAATATTTATTTAAAACTAGCATGCTTAATTGATTTATTCTTCATTTCTTTTCACAATGTGTTGTTTTCGTTGTTTTATTTAGTTTTTTTTAGTGAAAAAGTAAATCAAATAATCTACTGATTTAAGTGATTTTTTAGAAAAGGTTTATGTTTATCCTTATTTAGGAAATAAGATTTTTCTCCCTCTCCTTTTGGGGTTAAAAACTTTCAAATTTACTTCATGTGGGTTTTTACATGATTATATAGTAGAGATGGTACGGAAACATCTTTGGAAGATGCACTTGACTACTAACTAGAGGGAACAGGTTCTCATAGGAAAAATGAGGGCAAAACAATAACAGGCGATCTCCTCAGGGAGGAAGTACCTACCCAGGAACACCATTTCTTATCTTAGGTTTCTTTTCTGTATGATTCTTAATTGGTGGTAATATGCAATTTAGCAAAACTACATTCTTCAAAGCTTATGAAAATGCTACTTCTTTATCCATCTTACTTGGCAAGTTAATTAATAAGATCTCATATGGAGATTTATTCTCAAACTGATTGTGTAACAAAAATCATTTTTCCCTCAAATATTTCCCAATGATACTGGGAAGGTATTTGTAAAAACTTGTTTCATAGGTTTTATATGTTTACACAATTCTGCAGGTTTTCTTTTTTGTTCCCAAAATGGTGTGTTCAAATGAGTGACTACCTGGAAACACTTTTTAATTTAATGAAATCAGGCTCTTTTCCAAAATAGTAGGTTTTAAATCTAGATAATATCATGTAGTTTCAACAAATTTAACTATGCCTCCAATAACTGTTTCTAATGTACTAAGACAAAACTTTCAAATGTAGTTTAATCTGGATGAGAATTTTTCTTCTTAACAAGTTTTCTAAAGACATATTAAATATTTGGAATTTGTTTATTGATTTCTCCTGAACCTATATTATTTCTATTTACCCAATATTTAATTCAATGACTTATTGTTCCAGTTGCTGTGGCTGCATAAGACGTTATTCCAAAACTTCATTGTGCAAAACATCAGTGGTTTCTGATCATGCCTTCTGTGGGTCAGGAAATCAGACAGGGCATAGAAAGTCGGGCTTATCTCTGCTTTGCAGTATCTCTAGCCTCAGCTGGAAGTCTCAAAGACTGTTAAAAGTATCTGAAGATCTTTCTACTCACAAATCTGGTGGTTTATAAGAACTGTCAACTGGGGCCTCTGTTAGGTTGGGCAAAAGATGGCTGCTTCATATCTAAGCATTCTATCCATAGGCAAAGTGGAAATCAAATGGAAAGTGAAGGCTGAAGGGAAATTTCTTGTGTCACAGAATCCAAAAATGTATCACATGGATAATCTAGCTGAAAGATAATCTGGGGAGGCAAGTATTATTTCACTGGGCAAACAGATACTCCAAATAAAAATGTGATTTTATTATTAAGGCACATTAAAATGTATATTATGTAGGTAAGTATTCATATCTACCACACTCAGTATTCTCTAAGCCTACCTTAAAATTCTTTTAAAGCTTTGAGGCTTGCTTTTCTACACAATTTTATTTGCTGCACAGCTTCTAAATCAATTCCTTGCTTTCTAGGGCTAGAGATAATTGTATTCTAGTCTGAACCATACTTGAAATAAGTTGTTTATCATTCTGTCTGCATTTTGCCCTCTTTGTGATAAATTTAATTTCTAAGTAATGGTCCCAGTTTTCTTTGTTTTATGGCTGCCCAATCACCAAGAAGGAGACAAAAATGTAAAATATTTGGTATCTGTGTTTCCTTAACTGCATCTCATAATCAAGCAAAATATTTTATTAGTTGATTAATAATGATAGGTTCAGATATTACCTATAGAATTAGTCACATATTGAAAATAGAAAGTTTTTATAAGTATCCAGTCTAGTTCATTTCTTATTAACTTCTTAAAAAATACACATGCTAATGCTAACGTTTCTCTTATAAATAGATATTAAATTAGCAGTTCACAGTAACTAAAAGCACTAAAAGCCCACTAACTGAATGGGAAAGTGAGCTGATGGACATCATAACTAGTTCTGGTTTAACAACTCACTCCCTGCCAAACATTTATTTTTGCCTTGACTTTTAATTTAACTGAGAGTTGTTTTCAATTATCTTAGAGGAAAATATTTAATAGTATATTGGTTTGAAAATATCCTAACACTGAATACAGAAATTATTGCAATGAATAGCTAGTAAGGGTTAATTGTAGTCTTTTTAAAATTTACTGACTCAGATTAGTAAACCAATCTTCAGTTTATCAAAGTATATGCATTTTAATATCAAAGTATCTATTATCAATAGAATATACATTGCTAATTGTCTTTTAAACATTTTAAATGGATTTCTTTTCTTTTTTAATGAACACGGTTAGGTATAATGAACAAGATGGCTGACTGAAGTTGTGTTCTGGAGCCCAACCAAAGTTAAATGACAGATATCATATCTGTAAATTTAAGGATTCATTACATTAAAAAATCTCAAAAACTTACCAAGTGACTGTAATTTGCCAGGTCCTGGGCTAGACTCTTGAGAGAGGAAGACAAATTAGTTCCTGTCTTCAAACTTAATGGAAGACTCAGAAGAACATAGAGAATTACAGTGCATACATTAAGTGCTATTTAGATAAGCACTGTTTGTTATGGAAACCTTGTTATTTTGTAGATTGAATACATTGGAACAAGTTGAACAATTCAAAATTTGACTATTACAAAATAAACAGCAGGAGGCAAATCTTTGTGCATGTAAATTAAATGGCATTATTTTAAGTGCAATTTTATTTCTTAATTTTAAGATAGTATTTTTGCATATCAAAGCTAGCATGAATCTTGGTGGGGCTTAGTGGAGGAAATAGAAATAAGAGTTTAGTCAAAGTAGATGGCTAGATTGAAAAAGAGAGTGGGAAGCTAGAATAATAAGTGAGGAAATGGGCCACTTGTGAAAGTCTGGAATATGAATGTGGCTTCTATGCTCAACTATAGAGTATGAGGAGATAAAACAAATGTAAATAGTCATTTTCCCCACCATTCCATAAGCTTCGTAACTTTAAAACTAAAACTAACTTTAAATTATGTCTCATTATTTCAAATCAGCAGCTTCATTTTTCATCTAATCTTGTCTTCTTAAATTTCCAAATCACATCACAGAATGCCTTTCTACTGCTCTTCTTTCTTTTTGTTACACAAATATTTTGTCCTTACATTGGAAAACAAACTATAATGTATATTGAAAATTCATATTACATCCACTGAGAATCCATAAGAAATGTAGAAGTTCTGTACCATACAGAGTGCTCATGGAATTAGGGTTCCAGGAATTTTCTTTAATTGCACTCAACACAAGCCAAACTTCTCCACTGTTTTAGTTTTAGTTTTGTTTTGTTTTATCTATGATCTTGAAGCCACTCAACTTGTCACAACTTTTCTGCTTTTTTTCTGCCCTTCCCCTCTTTGCCCTCAATCTCCATAACCCCTTTCGTCCTTTTTCAAAGGGCTCACCTTTACGAAAACTCTAATATTCATGATCAATTATCTAGATAGCTTCACTTTTACTCTGCAGGAATTCAGTGACTAGGGTGGGGATTAGGATGTGGAAAAAGTCAGATATTGCAGGTTGAGCTTACTCAAAACAATCACAATTCCTCTGTGATTAACTCCCTTGTCTATTTTTGTCTGTGACTATTATCTTCCTCTGATATTTTCCTTTTCCATTATACTTTTTTGCCACATCTTCAAGTTGAGGATCAAGAACATGTACTCTGGGGTTGAGCAACTTTCTCAAACTGTTCCTACCCTTAGAAGTTTGGGCAGTGGCCGGACATGATGGTTCATGCCTGTAATCCCAACATTTGGGGAGGCCAAGGAGGGAGGATCGCTTGAACCCAGGAGTTCAATACCAGCCTAGGCAACATTAGGGATACCCTGTCTCTACAAAAAGAAAAAGAAAAAAATTAGCCAAGCATGGTGGTGTACACTTGAGTTTTCAGATAAGGTTGAAGAATGCTGTGGTGGGCCCAGGTACGCTTGAGCCAGGGAGATCAAGGCTGCAGTGAGCATGTTCATGTCACTGCACTCCAGCCTGAGTAACAGAGTGAGACCCTGTTTCAGAAAAAAAAAAAAAAAAGTTTAGGTGATCAAACTTTAAGTCCAGACAGTTTTAGTTCAGTCTTATAGTTTGTTTGGCTACTGGGCGCTTTCAAAAACTTAGTAGACTTCTTATTTAATAAATATTGAAACTCGATGAATATTTTCTCTAAGTTAATTTTATTCTGAGTCTCCTTAATTTTTTTGAAAGTTTTAGTGTAGATATAAAAGCCATATCTTTATTTTTCTCTTTATTAGAAAGCAGAGTTTTAATTACCATTGTCACTTAAAATACTTTCTCAATTATATTTCCTAGTATTTGTGATCTCAGAGTAATTGATTTGCCCCACTTTGCAAATTCTGAAATTTCTTGAATCTCTCCATTTTCTTTCATTTGAGTCTGCAAATTTGCCAATTCTTATCTGAGGTTACCAGGTTTTTAGTAACATTCTGTCAAAAGCAGGTAACAGCAATCAACTCAGAAGACTAGCGTTCGGTTTTTCAAACTCTTCCTAATACTGAAGATTTATAAGATTCATGATCTATTTTCTAAACCATGCTTCCTTACTGCAAGCAATAGACAGATGACCATCTTTCAAGATTACAATAATTACTGGCTTCCTCAGCCTATCAATAAAGCAAGAATACATATTTTATGTTTTATGTTTCAGAAACTCCCAACTTCTGGGATAATTATTTTTGTAATAGAAGAAGCTGAAATATGTCATTATAACAAACACCCTAAAATATTAGTGGTGTAAGAGAACAAAAATTCATCTTTGTTTGTTTGTTTCTGCAGAGTCCACTGCAGGAAAGACAGAGCTGAAGATCTCACTCAGCAATTAAATGCTTCTACTCTTAGCTGAAGCACACAACTACCTCTCACAGCCCATTGGCCAGAGCAGATCACTTGTCACAGATGAGACTGTCTGTAAGGCCCAAGAGAGTATAGTTCTCTCTTGTATCCACAAGGGAGAAGACTTAGATGTGAATGGGCACTAGAAATTTCTCCTACACTCCCAGGTCCTACCTCTACAGATTTCTGCCTCTTAACCTATGAAAGTGAAATCATAGGAAAGTAGCGGCAGAGGTAACACTTAAGTATCTTCTTCTCATATGAATTAAATTAAAATCAAATACAGTCAATTATATCTATGCCTCTTGACCTATAGAGATTCAAATTATTTCTTTATAATTTAGATGTTAGTTGCTATCAGTCAGCCTATTAAGTCTTGATAGACCTGAAACTTTGTGCCTAAGTCTCCGCACTCCTGCAGTAGAACTTCTTTAGAATTCCTTTCTTTCTTTTTTTTTATTTTTTTGAGTTGAAGTCTCACTCTGTCACCCAGACTGAAGTGCAGTGGCGCGATCTCGGTTCACTACAACCTCTGCCGCCCAGGTTCAAGTGATTCTTCTGTCTCAGCCTCCTGAATAGCTGGGATTACAGGCACACACCACCATGCCCAGCTATGTTTTGTATTTTTAGTAGAGTAGGGTTTCACCATGTTGTCCAGGCTGGTTTCAAACTCCTGACCTCAGGTGATCCACCCACCTTGGCCTCCCAGAGTTTTGGGATTACAGGAGTGAGCCACCACGCCTGGCCTAGAATTTCTTTATGAATTTATATTTTGTTCTATTTCTCTATCCTTCTTCTGCACTCTGTTGAACATTATATGGGGGACACAATGGAATTATATTGCAACAGTACAAACCTCAGTTTTAATATTAGTTATCTCTATTAAAAATGGTCTCTTTATTATACTTTATGTTCTTGGGTACATGTGCACAATGTGCAGCTTTGTTACATAGGTATACATGTGCCATGTTGGTGTGCTACACCCATTAACTCATCATTTACATTAGGTATATCTCCTAATGCTATCCCTCCCCCTCCCCCCACCCCACGGCAGGCCCCGGTGTGTGATGATCCCCACCCTGTGTACAAGTGTTCTCATTGTTCAGTTCCCACCTATGAGTGAGAACATGCGGTGTTTGGTTTTCTGTCCTTGCGATAGTTTCCTCAGAATGATGGTTTCCAGCTTCATCCATGTCCCTACAAAGGACATGAACTCATCATCCTTTTTTATGGCTGTATAGTATTCCATGGTGTATATGTGCCACATTTTCTCAATCCAGTCTATCATCGATGGACATTTGGGTTGGTTCCAAGTCTTTGCTATTGTGAATAGTGCCGCAATAAACATAGGTGTACTTGTGTCTTTGTAGCAGCATGATTTATAATCCTTTGAGTATATACCCAGTAATGGGATGGCTGGGTCAAATGGTATTTCTACTTCTAGATCCTTGAAGAATCGCCACACTGTCTTCCACAATGGTTGAACTAGTTTACAGTCCCACCAACAGTGTAAAAGTGTTCCTATTTCTCCACATCCTCTCCAGCACCTGTTGTTTCCTGACTTTTTAATGATTGCCATTCTAACTGGTGTGAGATGGTATCTCATTGTGGTTTTGATTTGTGTTTCTCTGATGACCAGTGATGATGAGCATTTTTTCATGTGTCTGTTGGCTGCATAAATGCTTCTTTTGAGAGGTGTCTGTTCATATCCTTCACCCACTTTTTGATCGGGTTGTTTGATTTTTTCTTTTAAATTTGTTTAAGTTCTTTGTAGATTCTGGATATTAGCCCTTTGTCAGATGGGTAGATAGCAAAAGTTTTCTCCCATTCTGTAGGCTGTCTGTTCACTCTGATGGTAGTTTCTCTTGCTGTGCAGAAGCTCTTTAGTTTAATTAGATCCCATTTCTCAATTTTGGCTTTTGTTGCTGCTGCTTCTGGTGTTTTAGACATGAAGACCTTGACCATGCCTATGTCCTGAATGGTATTGCCTAGGTTTTCTTCTAGGGTTTTTATGGTTTTAGGTCTAACATGTAAGTCTTTAATCCATCTTGAATTAATTTTTGTATAAGGTGTAAGGAAGGGATCCAGTTTCAGTTTTCTACATATGGCTAGCCAGTTTTCCCAGTAGCATTTATTAAGCAGGGACTCCTTCCCCATTTCTTGTTTTTGTCAGGTTTGTCAAGGATCAGATGGTTGTAGATGTGTGGTATTATTTCTGAGGGCTCTGTTATGTTCCATTGGTCTATATATCTGTTTTGGTACCAGTACCATGCTGTTTTGGTTACTGTAGCCTCACAGTATAGTTTGAAGTCAGGTAGTGTGATGCCTCCAGGTTTGTTCTTTTGGCTTAGGATTGTCTTGGCAATGCGGGCTCTTTTTTGGTTCCATATGAACTTTAAAGTAGGTTTTTTTTTTTCATTTCTGTGAATAAAGTCATTGGTAGCTTGATGGGGATAGCATTGAATCTATAAATTACCTCAGGCAGTATGGCCATTTTCACGATATTGATTCTTCCTATCCATGAGCATGGAATGTTCTTCCATTTGTTTGTGTCCTCTTTTATTTCGTTGAGCAGTGGTTTGTAATTCTCCTTGAAGTGGTCCTTCACATCCCTTGACATCCCTTGTAAGTTGGATTCCTAGATATTTTATTTTCTTTGAAGCAGTTGTGAATGGGAGTTCACTCATGATTTGTCTCTCTGTTTGTCTGTTATTGGTGTATAGGAATGCTTGTGATTTTTGCACATTGATTTTGCATCCCGAGACTTTGCTGAAGTTGCTTATCAGCTTAAGGAGATTTTGGGCTGAGATGATGGGGTTTTCTAAATGAACAATCATGTCATCTGTAAACAGGGACAATTTGACTTCCTCTTTTCCTAATTGAATATCCTTTATTTCTTTCTCCTGCCTGATTGCCCTGGCCAGAACTTCCAACACTCTGTTGTTTTAATAAGTTCTTTCGTTTGCTCATTTTTCTGCTCTCTCCTCCTCCTACCATCATTCTATTATCATCTTTCTCATTGCTGCCCTTTTCTCTCAGGAACAAGAACATTCTCCCTATGTCTTTTATTTTCTTGTACAATACACTTAGCCTCTACAGTACCTAACTCCAAATTTAGGACCATGTTATTCCTCATTCTCTGGTAGTAGGAGTGGAGTTCCACTGTTTGATTTATACCAGAATAAACATTTCTTGTAGAGTTGACATTCAGCCCTTACCAACTGGATTGCTGTTTTCCACTTAGGTACTAAGGAAGACATCACATAGACTTGGCTTCCAGAAGTAACAAAGACTGTTTCAATAAGAAGATTAGATAGAAGCCTTATAGGAGGGGGAAATGAATTTCATTGATATACTTAAAAAATTCTGTTCTTAAGACAATTTAAATATTTTATCAATAAACACATAGGGTTTTATTAATAAATACACAAGAATTATAAGTAAATTATAAATTATGATATATTCTAAAGTCTAAAGTCATGTAATAGAATGAGTCTTCAGGGCTTATAAACACCCAGGTTGTTATATGAGAACAGTCGAAATTAAGACATTTACCTCAAAGGCAAAATCAATTTCCTAATTGTAAAGGAAGAAATGTTAAACAGAGAATAATTTTACAGTTTTCAATATGTATTATTTTTAAAAGGAAGACCATCTTACTTTCATGATCATTCTATATTTGATCAAATGTGACAAAGTTTAAAGTATATTTAAAATTCTAAAGGAAATATATTTCTTTCATGAGACTTCTTCAGGAAAAAAATTTAGATTGCATGCTTATGTATAAATGGAAGCAAAAAATCTTAATAAAATGCATTTCCAAGTTCATTTCTAATCAACCTTTATCACCTATTATTCACCCTATTAAAAATGGAAAAGGCAAGCTGACAGGCATGTCAAGATGAATCCCTCAAAAAGATAACATGTCAACGTTGAAATAAAAAAAATAATGGAAATGCTAAATTACAAAAAGTGCATCTTATTCTTTCCTTTACACAGAGATTTTAGGCAATGAAAGACAAGGAACAATTTTCTGAAATTTGAACAGCAATCCAATGATGAGTTATGAGTACCATTTTCCCTTTCCCCAACAATCTGACTAGTAGATTTGGATGAACTTATATAGATAGGTTAAACAAGGAGGCTATAAACACTTTGAAAAGTGTATAATAAATAAAAAATAATTACATAACATTTAGCTTATTTGTAGCTCTCTGGATTCTTTTTGTTTTTTTCTCATCTTTCAAAAATATAGCTTCTTGTTTTCATTATGTCATTACACATTTTAATACCACAGAATGTCTCTTTTGTTTAAATAAAAATTGCTTATACGTGCTTAATGAATATCATAAACAGCAATTTATGACATGATTATGGACAGATATAGATAAGACTTAGGGAGTTTAGGGCAGTGGATTAAAAATAAAAAGCAGAAAGGTATAAAAAAATACTCCATTAAAGATATTGTTTGTTAGTGTCCAAAGGAGGGCAAGACTGACATACAGAGAATATATACTATGAGGTAAAATGTTAAATTTAATAAAGTTGCTTCCTAATGGTCCTTTCTCTAAGATGCCTCCTGAGTCTTTATTGCCTGAAGTATCCGACCATCAGGAAAGTGACCTGCAATAACTCCTACTGTCTAAAGATCATGCAATGGATGTGAAATTAATTGATATATACAGTACTTCAGTTAGGTGATTAAATTTGACCAAGAATCAGTATTACAGTCTATGTCATGTTAGGAAATGTAACATAGAAATGATCCTCATCTTGGCCTAAAATGCTAATCTATCATTAACTTCAACTCTTATTTCCTGTAACTTTGTTAAAAGAAATAATTATATTCTTAGAGGTTTTTAAATATTTTGATATACCTAAAGCAGGTCACCATTAATTAAGAAACTTTAAAAAGCGTGTGTGTATTGAGATTAATAAACATATCCCAAAATATTTAAATCTTTGGATTTACAAGTGAATCTAGATCTTCTTTAAAAAGAGCCTTATTATATTTTTAAAAAATGTATTCAAAATCAAATGCTTAAACTTTTTAAGTGTTTTATAGGAAAACTATACAAAAGGTATGCAGATTCTTTAAAAGTCTTCAAATTGTAGGAATCATGTTTCAGAAATAAAGATGGGAATGAATGATCTAGAATGCATAGATGAAATGATAATTTCTCCCTCATCTCTCTTGCGACTCTCAGACATTGAACAATTTTTGATTATGCAACCAAAGAAAATCTTGTCAGTTATTACCCCTCAAAGTGAATTATAATAACATGTAGAATATATGGTGAAACGCCAACTTCTTATCACATCTCACCTAAGAAATCATTGTAAACACTGCACTGCCACTTTGCCCTTTCTGCAACCATGATTGGCATTAATTCCTTTGGATGAGTCTGGACTTAGCTGCTTCTGAAAGTATCATCCTTGTTTCACTTACTGAATCAAGTTTGTTCCATACCAAAAATTGCTTCCTGGCCAGGCATGCTCTTAGCAGATTGACCTAGCAGAAAAGCTTCTGGACTTCTGCGAAATAGGCAAAATAGTGATGTGCATGAAGCCACTCAATTCCAAATGATGTTGTGTAAAAAAATAAAATTCAGTGCTAAAATGTTGGTTTGTTTAAAAGGTCAGTTCATAATTAGTTTACAGGTAATTGGAGCTTTAGAATGTATTTAATTTCCATAGCTTCAATAAAAAATTTTCATAAAGGTTTATCTTCAGATTAGTTTAATTATTACTATAAATTTGTGTACATTTTAAAAATTTAAATTAAATTTATATAATAGCCAGTTTAAAGAGTTTTGAGCTTTTACAAAATGTGTCTTTTCATATACATACATATATATGCATCTCTATAATTATATGCTTCCAGACTTGCTCAGATTTTGAATACTCAACAATAAAAAAAATTATTTAAAATTTTTTAAAAATTCATTTGATTCATGTTTAAAATTAACACATATAATAACATCCCTAAAAATAATTACATTGGGAAATTAATTCAATTGTCTGTATATAACTATACTTTTGTTTAATAAAATCAGTTATAAGGAATGCATTATCTTTAGTTATGGATCAAAGGAAAAGAAAAGGCCATCATATTTAAAAATGTTGGGCTTTTTTGATTTTGAATTTTGAGTCAAGCTTGCTTGGAAAAAGAACAAGGCTGTTGTAGTACAGAACAATGCTTATGTCTTATCGGCAAAGTTTTACAGTGGTCATGGCTAACTGGGTGTAGTCTTGTCATTGATTTTTTCTAAAATGGTGAAGATCTTCATTTAACAAATTCAAAGCAAGTCTTTTTAATAGAATGAGTCATAACTGTGACTAAATATTACATTCATAAATTCAGAATACAGAGAACACATATCTCTCTTGGATGATTTTGGTGCACTTGATAAACTTTTTTTTTTTTTTTTTGAGACAGAGTCTTGCTCTGTCACCCAGGCTGGAGTGCAATGGCGCGGTCTCGACTCACTGCAATCTCCGCCTCCCTGGTTCACGCCATTCTCCTGCCTCAGCCTCCCGAGTAGCTGGGACTACAGGCGCCCGCCACCATGCCCGGCTAATTTTTTGTATTTTTAGTAGAGACGCGGTTTCACAGTGTTAGCCAGGATGATCTCGATCTCCTGACCTCGTGATCCGCCCGCCTCGCCCTCCCAAAGGATACAGGCGTGAGCCACCGCGCCCAGCCTGCACTTGATAAACTTTAATTTCCATGCTTTGGTTTCTTGAATTCTGTAATTCTGACCCAAATAAAACCACTATCCATGTGAAAATCGTATTAAAAATATGTGTCTGTATATATATATGTATGCATGCGGAAATGCCCACAGAAACTCATGTGAATGAATGAATGAACAGATAAATGAACAAAAAGTTTCTTCACATAATACTGATGACAAAGAGGTATATAATTTTTTGAAAAATCCAGTCATATGTCATTTTAGGGGGTCTCAAATACCTTATTCTATTGCAAATATTTAAATCTCTTTTATCTAAACACATTAGGATTTTCTAATTTAAAGGAAAAATGACAGAATTTTATGACAAATTCTTTAGAAAACTATTTGTGATCTTTTTCGGGGGGAACTTTAATATCTAGGAATTAAAGCTCAGTACTTTTCTCTGTGGCTGGAATAAAATCTGTATCTAATTATTTTCTGGGACTTTACGTTGCTTGAAGATTTTTGCAAAATAATGCCAGGCCTCTAGCAAGGCATTAAATGTTAGTTCAATTCAGTTGTCATATGCCATTGTTTTGTAGTTGCTCCAGGTACAAGTTAAAACAACTTACCAAACGAAACGAAACTAAACAAAAACCTTGGCAGTATCTGTTTTGTTGTGAACCTCATTCAACCTGAAATTTAATTATGTTACCATGTGGGTTTGTAATGTGGATTAATAGTTTTATTGTATGCCTGTGATTAGTTTCTGTTTGTTCTAATTTCTTCTTAGCCCCTTCCTGACCTTGAAGTGAAAAAACACAGAAGATGTATTCCTTCAATTTAATGCCAGTTTGAGGTGTTTCTCCTGCATCATCAGATCAATGAAAAGTAAATAGCCTACACTTCTTGTTTCACAGTGCAGTATTGATCTTTCTTCAGCTTTTGCTTCCCCTTTTCCCTGCGTCTTGTGTCTTTCAACCCCTGGGACTGAAGTGATTGCCATAGATTGGACAAGCTAACAAGCGCATGATAAGGAACCGGTGTTTTGTGGCATACTCACATGCACATGCTTGGTATATAAAGCCTGCTTCTGCATTGAAAGAAAGGTGCCATTTTGCGTGCATGGCACAAGCCACTAGGAGAAAGAACCAAAAGGAAAAAAATAAAAAAAAAAACAGGAAGGAAGATTTTATTTGCTATCCCAAATCTTTGCAGATAGTGCTAAATTAGGTGATGAAACTCCTGTGAAAAATAAAAGACAAGTAGCCTGCGGGAAAATGCCATATGCTTTTAGCTTTGGCAAATGACTGGATGTTGGCAGCCTGTGGGTAAGTGTCTACAATCCTTCAGCATCTATGCTTTCAAAAGAATATTTGTTATTATGATTTTTGTGGGTTTTCTTTGGTTTCACTTTTTACTTAAGGCTAGTTGCTAAATTGTTAATCTTAGCGTTTGCAAAATAGTTATAATTTGGATTCCGAATCCAATACTTAGAAATATGTATTTAAGCCACGTGTCTTCACAAGAAGCATTAGGAGATATATTTGCTTCTTTAACAATCTGACTGATCTGTGGCTTTTCTCTGAGGTGAAAAGAAATGTTTTTGTAAAGATGTGAACTGATCTAAGATGTCAAGTAATAGAAGGAAATGGATAACTTTGTAAAGCTTAGAAATACTTTGTTTTCTCCCTGCCTGTCTTTAACATGTTCATCGTAAAAATGAAAACCCTCCAAATTTTATTTTTGGGCCCTTCTGTATCCACAGATTTGTCTGGCATTGAAAAATGGATAAATGAATAATTGATATTCTATCACATGCTATTGTCTCTTTACAGATGGATATTTTATGCTGGGCAGCTTGCAAGTTTTCTGACCTCACTTTAGGATGGTAGGGATCCAGTTTCTTGACTCTGACGTGGTTATAAGTTATTGGTGCCATTGGCTCCCAGCTCTGTAAACTAATATATTTATAAATAAGTTATCCTTTCTTTACTTTTTATGCTCTCATTCTGGAATTTAGTTTGAGATTCTACAGTCAGGCTGTCATTTGAGAGTCCATGGTTGAAAGGAGGTTCACATGACAGAGGAAATAAACAAAGCTTGTGTTTCTCATGGAGAAAAGTTGTGACCTCGATAAATGTTAATATAGCATGAAGATCTGTAGGGGATGTTAACTTATTACTAATTTTAAGGAAAAATCTTCCGATGCACAGGTTTCTGATTCTGATATGTAAATCACTGTACTGTCATATATAAACATCATATGAACACCATGGATACTGCTGCAATGCGGCTTTTGGCACATTGCTGTCAGTATGATGCTTTTATATCATGCGCCTTTTGTTGTCTGAGCAGAATACAGAATACATGGAACAAATTAAGCAAAATGTTGGAGCTTCTGTATCTTACTCAGGTTTTATGACTTGTATACTTCTTGGATTTGGGTGATTGTTCTAACCCAAGCTATTATGTAATCCTTAGGGTAACGCTACTGCTGATTTGAAAGCTATTAATTTTCTATTACAGTGTGCTAAAGATGTTCTATAGTGTGGCACTCACCTGCATTATTGAGTCAATGACCAATTGCAGAGTTGTTCTGTGGTGGTTGGAGCTTAACTCAACCCTCTGGGATCTCATTTATTATTTGCAGATATTGATTTTGGAAAAAAGAAAAGCTAAGATGTGTGAATATAATACTAACTTAGACCTGGCCTAGAGCTATTAACTCCTAATGGTCTGCATATTGTATGTGTTAACATGTAAAACTATTACATATTTTGTGATTTTAATCATAAATTATACTGTGTTCACAATAAATATTTATCCTTATCTATACAGCATGTCTAAATATTGAGTACCCAAATGATTTTGCTGTGTTATTAGAATCTGAACTTAGCTTTAGTCATATTTGTAATTTTCTGATGTCTTAAAGATGCAAATAAGAGAAGAACATTTACTTGTACCCTTAAAAATATCCTAAGCAAATACCCAAGTGTGTATGGTATATAATATGCAATGTGTGTGTTTGTGCACAGAGGGAATCTTAGTGATTTTTTATTTATTTTTCTTAAAGAAACATTGTCCATAGGCAGTTTTCTGAAGCAGCCTTAGGACTGTTAAAAAACAAAAGAACATAAAAATGTATGGGGAAGTTCTTCACCTGGAGGAATCTAAAATTCAAAATGAAGCCCAGGCTCATGTGGCATTCTAGGGTGCATGATCTCTTGACTGCAGGGACCCCGAGAACCCATTATTGACATTGGTCCTCCCATAAGGCTGACAGGGTTACAAAGACACACTCTTGTGGGCTCCCCAGCAATCACCTTTCCATGCCCTCATGTTTATCGCTAAGGCTTAATTGCACACAATTTCTCAAAACCTGATTTTTTTCTTTCAAATGCCTCCATTATTTTCAGAGAAATAGCATTTCTACACAGCCAAAATAATTGGAAACATTTAGAAAATTATTTTGCTTTGTTTATTTAACATAAAGGCCAGTTTTTAAAATGGATTTTTATTTTTTATTTTCTGTCACTTTTATTTAATAACAAATGTAAAAGCAAAACCTATTTCTAATTTGAAATTAATTAACTTAACAAATAATGAAAGGGGATTATATTGTCAATAATCTGCTTGCTGGTACACGTCGTATGAAAACAATTGGCAACCCAATAGGTAATATTTGTCAAGTAATTTCTTGTTAACCTAATTTGTTCAAGGACTATTCTATGGAATGAAAAGGATATATGACATTTGTTTTTCTCCCTCTTTAGCATCATATTTTAGTTCAAAATTCACCAGTTCTAATTATCTCCTATTTGCAACTGCTCCAGAGGAACCCTTACATAAGTGCCCTCAGTAAATTCCTTTATTCAGTCATGTTTTTCACTAAATAGAAATATATTGTCTATTATGTGTTAAGTGTACTAGATGCTAAAAATATTTTTAAAAAGATTCATAATAGAAATTAAATATAAAAAAAGGAAAGGAAGGAGACCAAGTCTTTGATTTTATAAAAGCTTAATTATAAAAGGAATTGAACACAAAGCCAGTATAAAGCAAGTTTATTTTATGTTAGAAGTAAAAATAATTTACCATATTATGAGGGTACACTAAAACATGAAATTCAAAGAAAATATTTTTCAGTATAATTTTAATGTTTAAAAAGTACCTTTTGGTTTGTAATATGTATAAGCATGTCCAGCAGAATTTCTCAATTGATATGATTGCTTATTCAACCAGTATTTATTTAGTATCAATTGCATGACAGGGGTTAGAAAGATAGAGAAAATGAGATGAATTTCTAGCTCATACATGCTAACAGATTACAGAAGAAGACATACAAAGCCTAAATCTACACTCAGTGCTTAAAATGTCTATTCACTGTAGACTATTTAGTCAACCATCAAAGGGAAAGCTTTACTTTCTATATCTATATCTATCATGTCTAACAGTCAAATAATGAGAACTGATATGCAGTTCAATATCAAATAATGAGAATAACGTGATAATTTTGATTTATTATAGTTTTGGTATCACCTATGTAAAATATTGTACATATGACATTTTACATGTTATAGGTATTTTTACATGTTATAGGTAGGTTCACATAGGTATCACCTAGATAAAGTGTTGTACATAATGATCTAGAGGCTTCTACTAGTTTTAATTATGATAAATATTGAACAGGCTAAGGCTAGTTCAGAGACAAACCAGAGACACTAACAAATTAATGACATTGAATTTGCCTTACATCACCAAATACCTACGAATGAAATTAGATACCAATTCCAAAACATGCCTACAATAAGCATAGCTGCTTAACTGCCAAGATAGATACTGATGAGACATCTGTTCGGGAAGTTTTAAGTAGGATAGGCACCCAAAAATCAAAGCTTAAAAACTCAAGATTAAATGTTTCTGACTTATAAAATCACAAAAGTACATTTTCAATGATATATTTGTGATTTGGCACCATGAATGTTTTCTTAAAATGCTTAACATTTTAAAGTAAATGACTTTCTGAGTAGTTTTTCTTTAATCTGAAAGTATAAATGAACATGAGTCAGTTTTATTTATTTATTTATTTATTTATTTATTTATTTATTTATTTATTTATTTTTAGACAGAGTCTCGCTCTGTTGCCCAGTCTGGAGTGCGGTGGCGGGATCCTGGCTCACTGCAACCTCTGCCTCCTGGGTTCAAGCAATTCTCCCTGCCTCAGCCTCGTGAGCAACTGGGATTTCAGGTGCCCGCCACCACACCAGCTACTTTTTTTTTTTTTTTGTATTTTTGGAAGAGATAGGGTTTCGCCATGTTGGTCAGGCTGGTCTTGAATGCCTGACCTCAGGTGATCCACCCACCTCGGCTTCCCAAAGTGCTGGGATTACAGACTTGAGCCCCTGTGCCAGGACAAGTCAGTATTTTTGATGACTACTCTCTCCTATTTATTTATTTGTCAACAAATGGCAGTGATAATCAGCTGACAACAGGCAGTCAACATTATAAATGGTTCACTTAATTAACTGTAGATAATAATCCAGGTAAAATATGGATGCCACTCCTTTCAATAAAATGGAGGCAAAATAACCCCATTACTGATTCTAATTTACTGTTCCTTAACGTCCTCATAATGAGTATGAGGCTATCAAGTTACTGTCTCTCTTTTTTTTTTTTTTTTTTGCTTATGTGATTGTTATTGTTGTATATTACAGGCCAGAAATACACCACGAAAAATAATTTTAGATATACTATTATATTCATTAACTTAGAAGATATATATATATATATATATATTTTTTTTTTTTTTTCTGGCACAGTACTCTGTTCATAGGAACATCAAGTGTGGTCTGTTCCTTTTTAGTGGCCTGTGAAATAGTACCATAAGTTCATCCCCAGTATGAAAAGCTTCAGCAGTGAGATTTGAGGCAGCCTGTCATGCAAAAAGTAAGGCATTAGTCAAGAGGGGCGGTTTTTACAAAAGGTCATTGTTAGGCTCATATAGGTATGCAATGAGCACACAGCTTCTTTATCACTGTCCATTCATTCAATGGAACAATTTTATTTCTAAATTTAAGAGATTAGAGATGCTATTGACCCTTGATCAGAAAAGATGCTGATGCTAATGATGGCTCTTCTTATTGCCTTACTGTAATTTACCTACTCATATGTCTAGGCACCTTCAGCATCAGTCACATCTGAAATATACTTGGCTCAGGCTTTTAGCCCCTTTTGGCTTCACTTGGCTTTTTGCCCAGACTCAATATTTTATAATAAAATTATTCAAATTATCTCCATGATTGCAATATAATTTCCCCCTTGACTTCCAGCCGTATCAATATATAGTCTTTCTCCTTGTGGTCTCAGAAAATCAAAATAGTATGAGGACTGAAACTATCATAAATCTATAATCTCTGATTGAACTTTCAGTGGTGCTTGGCCATGCTTTTATTCAGCTTTTTATGACTCTTTTTCGTATTCCCCAGTGACTATGTCAAACATTGTCTACACTTACCAAATTTAAAATCCCACCTCCTCATATTCTGTGGTAGACTTCTAGTGCCAGTTACCATTCGGTTCTCCTTACCCCCATAAAGAAGATTTTACTCCTGATGTCCTTACTGTTATATAGGACCAGAAGGTTCTGAGTAGAAATGGATTCTGAATGACACTCAGCAGAAGACATCCTGTATTTTTCTTCCCTGCCTTTTGAACCAGAGACCTTATGATTGAAATTATGAAGCCACAAGGTTGTGGGGACTTCTGACAACCCGAATTGTCATGGAGGTATGGAGGCAGTTGCCATGGAGAGTCAGCAGGTCAAATTTTCATGAACAAAAACCTTTGTAGTTTTAAGCCAAGTGAGATGCTGGGGATGTTTATTTTCTAGACTATCCAAAGATGTCCTGACATCTTCACATTTAGGAGATGAGTTTGTTTTCCATGATTTTGAGAGCTTTGAGAAAATCCAACACATTGTGTTCCTACCATAATATAATGGTATTTATACATTTTATTTTGTTTTATTTTTATTTTATTTTATTATTATTATACTTTAAGTTTTAGGGTACATGTGCACAATGTGCAGGTTTGTTACATATGTATACATGTGCCATGTTGGTTTTCTGCACCCATTAACTCGTCATTTAGCATTAGGTATATCTCCTAATGCTATGCCTCCCCCCTCCCCCAACCCCACAACAGTCCCCAGAGTGTGATGTTCCCCTTCCTGTGTCCATGTGTTCTCATTGTTCAATTCCCACCTATGAGTGAGAACATGCGGTGTTTGGTTTTTTGTCCTTGTGATAGTTTGCTGAGAATGTTGATTTCCAGTTTCATCCATGTTCCTACAAAGGACATGAACTCATTATTTTTTATGGCTGCATAGTATTCCATGGTGTATATGTGCCACATTTTCTTAATCTAGTCTATCGTTGTTGGACATTTGGGTTGGTTCCAAGTCTTTGCTATTGTGAATAGTGCCACAATAAACATATGTGTGCATGTGTCTTTATAGCAGCATGATTTATAGTCCTTTGGGTATATACCCAGTAATGGGATGGCTGGGTCAAGTGGTATTTCTAGTTGTAGATCCCTGAGGAATTGCCACACTGACTTCCACAATGGTTGAACTAATTTACAGTCCCACCAACAGTGTAAAAGTGTTCCTATTTCTCCACATCCTCTCCAGCACCTGTTGTTTCCTGAGTTTTTAATGATTGCCATTCTAACTGGTGTGAGATGGTATCTCATTGTGGTTTTGATTTGCATTTCTCTGATGGCCAGTGATGATGAGCAGTTTTTCATGTGTCTTTTGGCTGCATAAATGTCTTCTTTTGAGAAGTGTCTGTTCATATCCTTCACCCACTTTTTGATGGGGTTGTTTTTTTCTTGTAAATTTGTTTGAGTTCATTGTAGATTCTGGATATTAACCCTTTGTCAGATGAGTAGGTTGCGAAAATTTTCTCCCATTCTGTAGGTTGCCTGTTCACTCTGATGGTAGTTTCTTTTGCTGTGCAGAAGCTCTTTAGTTTAATTAGATCCCATTTGTCAATTTTGGCTTTTGTTGCCATTGCTTTTGGTGTTTTAGACATGAAGTCCTTGCCCATGCCTATGTCCTGAATGGTATTGCCTAGGTTTTCTTCTAGGGTTTTTATGGTTTTAGGTCTAACATGTAAGTCTTTAATCCATCTTGAATTAATTTTTGTATAAGGTGTAAGGAAGGGATCCAGCTTCAGCTTTCTACATATGGCTAGCCAGTTTTCCTAGCGCCATTTATTAAATAGGGAATCCTTTCCCCATTGCTTGTTTTTCTCAGGTTTGTCAAAGATCAGATAGCTGTAGATATGCGGCATCATTTCTGAGGGCTCTGTTCTGTTCCATTGATCTGTATCTCTGTTTTGGTACCAGTGCCATGCTGTTTTGATTACGTAGCCTTTTTGTATAGTTTGAAGTCAGGTAGCGTGATGCCTCCGGCTTTGTTCTTTTGGCTTAGGATTGACTTGGCGATGCGGGCTCTTTTTGGTTCCATATGAACTTTGAAGTAGTTTTTTCCAATTCTGTGAAGAAAATTGGTAGCTTGATGGGGATGGCATTGAATCTATAAATTACCTTGGCAGTATGGCCATTTTAAAATATTTCTGGCCAGGCGCAGTGGCTCATGCATGTAATACCAGCACTTTGGGAGGCCGAGACAAGTGGATCATCTGAGGTCAGGAATTTGAGACCAGCCTGGTCAACATGGTGAAACCCCGTCTCTACTGAAAATACAAAAATTAGCCAGGTGTGGTGCGGGCATCTGTATTCACAGCTCCATTCTCTTTGTTTTTATCAATGTCAGAGGAAGAATTGTGTAGTGCCAGTCTTTTCACTATAATTCTTATACTGTATAATGATCATCAGCTTCTTCTGAGACAATATTTTATTAAATATCTTCAGTTGAAATATTTTTACAAAATTTCATCATATTTTCTTCATCTCAGTAAAACAGTACATTAAAATTTATATATAAAGTATATGTAAATATCTGAAACTCATTTATTTATATATAAAATGTATATTAAATATATAAAATTTATATAGCTAAGATACATTATAAAATGTATATATGTAACTATATATATATATATAATCAAACCATCTTGAACTCACACGGCTGATACTTACTGCAGCCAGAATTTGAGATCAAGTATGTCTGAGCACAGACCCATAACTTTGCCCTCTTTGCTACACCACCTTCTTTTGAAACTCTTTACTACTTTGCCTTATATATCTTCTTATTCTAATAATCATTTTATCTCTATGAGTACAGTTTATTACCGATTGACTATTACGTGCTACTTATGTGACTTAGGCCAGTTAACTTATTCTCTAGGAACCTCAGTTTACTCAGTTATACAATGAGCCTAATACTGTCTGCTTCACAGTTGTTTATAAGAACTAAGTAAAATAATATAAACATACATGCCTAGTTTAGTTCCTGATGCATATTGGCAATTGAGAAATGTTAATTGATGTTTTTCTTTATACTTTGCTTCAACTATTATTCTCAGATTGACCTTTCTCAATCTCTTTGGTTATAAAATTGATAGTAGTCCCCACCTTATCTGTGGTTTTGTTTTCTGCGTTTCAGTTATCCACAGTCAACTGTGGTCTGAAATAAAGTAAGTACACTACAATAAGATATTTCGAGAGGGGTATAAAGAGAGGAAAATAGAGGTCATATTCACATGATTTTGTTTCATTATATTGCTATTGTTCTACTTTATTATTAGTTGTTAATCTCTTACTATGCCTAATGTATGTATTAAACTTTATCGGAGGTATTTACATATACAAAAAACGTAGTGTATATAGTGTTTGGTACTATCCATGGTTTTAGGTGTCCAATGTGGGTCATGGATAAGTGGGGACAACTGTATTACTGATTTTTAGTCCTGTCTCAAATTCTGTTTCTTCTCAACCATTTGTTGACCTTTATTTGAATACTTATATTATTTTGCTTAATATATGTGTTTTATTTTTCTGTTACATACCTGTGCCTTATTTCCAAGGAATTTCTGAATTCCTTAAAGACAGGACCTAGCACATCTGCGTTTCTTCATTCATCATAAGTCTATTTGATGCTGCTGCTGATTTTTACGAATGAGTAGATTCTATTTGAATCTCCTAGTGAAAATATATCATATCTGTTACATCATATTTATCAAACACTGTTACTCTTGGAATCTAAATATGCTAACATGACACATCATTAACGTCAAGTTACTACTATTCCTTGCTGCATTATTGTGGCAGTTTCCTAATGCAGCTCAAAGTACATCAAGTGAATTTAGGAAACAGGTTCTGTCAGGTATGTAGGGAAGTAGCTCTTGACCTTTAATGTTCCTCTATTCTCTACTTTAAAATCATATTTATTTAACATATTTTCTTATGATTTTTGTCTCTCTATTGAAATATATATTATCCCCTATTAATGGTTAAATGAGAAGACACAGTTTACGTATAATTATTTCTTTCAATACTTCTGCTTAAATAGTAGGAGACCATTGAAATATTTTGAAAATCTATGGTGGAGTTATAGCTGATATGAATAATGACATCTGATGAGCTATGAGTTTGAGAGGATAGGAGACTAATCACATGCATTTATCCATTTTCTACTGTCCTTTACTGGATATTTATTAGTAGATTCTCAAAACAGGATTTTGTGTAATACATTTGTTAGCAAAATATTTTGATTCAGGGGATCATCCTTCAACATTGCATATGGTAGTGCTACTATATTTCTATGTTCAGTGACTTACCTTACTTACCATAGCATAGTATTTGAAGCCTTTAACTCTTATATTCAAAGTATAATGTTTCTGAACATTTTCAGCACTTTAAATGCAAAGTGTTTCTGTAGCAAGTCATGATACAATGTCTCAGGAGATGAATGAAGCTGCCACGTTTTTCTTTTAAGCTGAATTAATGCTTGTGAAGACTGACATCCATGAAGACTAAAGTGCTTCAGCTACAGAAAGTAACAATTCAGAAGGGGCAGTCTGAGCCTTTGGTATTTTACTACACTAATACATAACAGAAGATTTATCATTGTTCTTGTCCCTTTTGATTTTCAGTCTCTTTGCTAAGATATTTGTCAATAGCACTATGATTTAGTTGTTTTATACTGAAAATTTATTGGCACACCAAATTCCAAATATAATTTCTACCATACTTCATTTTCTCAAATATATGAGTTGTAGAACTCTAAAACAGCCTTGGTCAGTCAGGCCAAGATGTCATCCCTATAGTAGCCTTGCTCTGGGAGGAGTACAGTAAAGTCTGAGAGCACAGAGTCTAAAGCCAGACAGATCTGTAATTGCATTTGTGCCATACTGCTTCCTAGGAACCCTGAGCAAGTGGCCTAACCACTTTGAAACTTGATTTGCCCATCAGTAAAATGGATATAATAATAAGACCTACCTTACAGGGTTGGCATGTTTGTAGATTAAATGCGACAGCACATTTAAGCTGTTAAAATGCTTAATATTGTGCCTGGTCCATGATAAACATTCAATTAATTTTAGTTTCATCATCATGATCTTACTGGTGCAGTCATTAGTACTTATGATCATTCAGCGTGAATTGGCCTGAGGAATACTATTTGGCACTCATTATTATATCTTAAAATTCCAATTTGTTAAATACAATATGATGTTACCTGCAAACATATATTTATTTATTCTTAGTGTAATCTCCCTTTGTAGGCCAACTGTAATTTAAGTCAGTTAAATTATAATTAGGGTATTATTTATAGACTGTATTCAGAACAAGCATTTGTTTGGATATATAATGGCACTAAGCTGTGTCATCCTGAGATATCAACCTCTTTTAGAGATAT
Source organism: Homo sapiens (assembly GCF_000001405.40). Taxonomy (NCBI): domain Eukaryota; kingdom Metazoa; phylum Chordata; class Mammalia; order Primates; family Hominidae; genus Homo; species Homo sapiens. Next base: position 92,093,377 of record NC_000005.10, read on the forward strand.
GTTCACATTTGCTTTAAGACACCTTCTTTCCGGAAAATGCTTATAAAAAGAGTTACAGGATATATCTGTGCTTCCATTTATGTCACGTTCTCCTTTAAACTGTCACTTTCTTCCTTTATGTTAAGAATTTCAGTCAGGGTGTGGTCAAGTTTTTGAACAGATACATTAGGTTGATTTTCAAGTTAAACTTTTAGTAGATAACATTATTTGAGTATTTATAGGTTGTTTAGGGAAGTAGGTACATCTCTAGAACTCCTGCAATTTGCTAATATGTGCTATATCTAGAATGTTCCTTTAAAATGGCTTACTTTCTGTGATGTTATTTGGTTGTTTTGTTTTTCTTCCTTCTTATAATATATAATGACAGCATTTTCAAAATGTCAGTATCATTTAATTGGGTTGATATTTACTCTAATTCTCCTTTGAAAAATACTAAAAGTTTTAAGTGGGTTTAAATTCATGTCAGTTCTGTTTATGACTAAATAAATATAAACCAGCAATACTATTAAAAAGAATAGAAAAAGATATGAAACTTGAAGGTCATTCATTGAGTGTAATTTATAGAATATAATATATACAGAGATACACCTTAGAATTATAAAAATACATAAATTTTATCATCAAGAAGATCAATAAGAGACTATCATTTTTCTCATTATTTCCTTTTGGTGCACACTTATTCTAAATCTGTAAATTCTAAAAGGCCTATAATATAACTTTATATAAACCAATGTGCTATATTACCAAGTTTATATGATATATAAAGATGTTATGTAGCATTTTGTCTTACAAATTCATTGCATTGTAGTACGTATCAATCTACTGTCTGTCAAAGTACAATACCAAATATTAATTGGTAATAAGAATGAAGATATTTCTGGAGTTTATGTAACATAATAGTGTAAGAAAAGATTTGGGACAGATCTAAGAATTCCTTAATCTCATTCAAGTTTTACACTTAATACAACCAGACTTTTTATATAACTTAGGTTATTTCTCTCACTTGGAAATTAGGAACACAAATTATTTGAATTAAAAATGTAAAAAAAGTATCCAATATTCTCGTTAGAGTAAATATGCAGGGGTTTTTTACATTGTTTGGACTTTAATAATGACAGCAAGAGGAATTATCAAATAGTTATTAAAACTATGGACTATCTGTTGTGCAAATGAGGTCAATCTGTACAAATTGACATGAATGTTGCAGGTTAAAACATCAAATCATACAATGATGCTGTTGACATAATTTATTTTGAAACACACACAAGACCAACATGATAAATATAAGTAAAAATTCTGGTAGGTTATAAATCAAACTCTCAACAGAGGTTACCTCTTAGGAGAGGATGAATTACAGACTGATTTCCCAATGGGTACACCAGCTTCTACTTTATTTGAATTGATTAAATTTCAACAATATTAACATATTATTTATTTTATGTTCAGGCGTACATGTGCAGGTTCGTTATGTAGGTAAATTGCTTGTCATGGGAGTTGAGTGTACAGGTTATTTTGTCACCCAGGTACCACGCATAGTACCTGATAGGTAGATTTTTGATTCTCTTCCTCCTCCCACCCTCCGTCCTCCTGTAGGCCCCAGTGTTTGCTGTTCTCTTCTTTGTGTCCGTGTCTACTTCGTGCTTAGCTTCCACTTATAAGTGAGAACATGCAGTATTTGGTTGTCTGTTCCTGTGTAAGTTTGCTTAGCATACTGGCCTCTAGCTGCATCCATGTTCCCACAAAAGACATAATCTCGTTCTTTTTAATGGATGCGTAATATTCCATGGTGTATATGTACCATCTTTTCTTTATCCAATCTACTTTTGATGAGCATTTAGGTTATTCCATGTCTTTGTTATTGTGAATAGTACTGTATGCACATATCTTTATGGTAAAATGATTTACATTCCATTGGGTATATACCCAATAACGGTATTTCTTTGTTAAATGGTACATAGGTTTGAAGTTTTTTGAGAAATTACCACCCTGCTTTCTACAATGGCTGAGCTAATTTACACTACCACCAGCAGTGTATAAGCATTCTCTTTTCTCTGCAACCCTGCCAGCATCTGCTACTTTTTTACTTTTAATAGTAGTCACACTAACTGATGTAAAATGGTATTTCACTGTGATTTTAATTTGCATTTCTCTGATGATTAGTAATGTTGAGTTTTTTTTTCTTATGTGCTTGATAGCCATGTGTATGTCTTCTTTTGAAAAGTGTCTGTTTGTGTGATCTTTGCCCACTTTTTAATGGGGTGGTTTGTTTTTTGCTTGTTAATTTATTTATGCTGCTTGTAGACTCTGGATATTAGACCTTTGTAGGATGCATAGTTTGCAAATATTTTCTCTTATTCTGTAGATTGTCTGCTCACTGTGTTGATAATTTATTTTGCTGTGCAGAAGCTCTTTATTTTAGTTAGGTCCCTTTTTTTGCCATTGTTTTTGGCATCTTCAACATGAAATTGTTTTCAGGAACTATGTCTTTGCAGAGTCTTTTTAATGAAGCGGTAGATGATTCAAGTCATAAACTAAATCAAATTCTTCTCATATGAAAGTTACTCAGTATATGACTATATTAATATTGACCATTTGGGGATGATTTATTCATCTTCCTTGTTTTGTACCTTGTACATAATTTTATAAATTATTTATTATAGTCAATGTGGTTATTAAATAAGCCACAAACCACAAACCAAGAAGATGCTATAGTCCTCGTTCTTAGGAATTTATAGGTGGGGATAAAAATGATTAAAGAACAATAATAAATAGTAATCACTATTGATCAGTTTTGACTACTGATAATGTCTCAGGCTTATTCAAGAAAGTGGGGAAACAAAGAAGCATTCAAACTCTACCCTCAAGGAACTCACAGTAGAGTTATGGGAGGAGACAAAATAATGTTTGAAAGGCACAGTAGGTGCGAAACCATAAAAGATCGAGAAAGTTTAGGAATTTAGAGTTTCTGTACCAATCATGTATCTTTTTTGAGATGGAGTTTCGCACTGTTGCCCAGGCTAGAATGCAGTAGCATCATCTCCGCTCACTGCAACCTCCACCTCCCAGGTTCAAGCGACTCTCCTGCCTCAGCCTCTCGAGTAGCTGGGATTACAGGAGCCTGCCACCACTCCTGGCTAATTTTTTGTATTTTTAGTAGAGACTGGGTTTAACTATGTTGGCCAGGCTGGTCTTGAACTCTTGACCTCGTGATCTGCCCTCCTCAGCCTCCCAGTGTGTTGGGATTACAGACATGAGCCACTGCGCCCAGCCCTATGCATCTTAATAGTACATGTATCTCCTATCTAAATAAACAAATTTATTGTAACAAAATATAAGCTTTTAGAAGGCTTATCAGTGTTTTCCACCTATTTAACTCAGTCACCATTTTGCAATGACCTTCATATACTGTAGGTCTTGAAAAATGCAAGCTCTGACACTGAGATCTTGGAATAAATGAAAAAAGTATCAGAATCTGGTACTAAGTCAAACCAGTAAAAAAAAAAAAAAGAAAAAAGAAAAAACCTGCTATTGTTCTTTGATTTATTGGTTTAATTTTTTTATTTTATACATTTTGTTTTGGAATTAAAATAGCTCTAGTTAAAACTATTTTTATATATTATGCATTCTATATGTTTTACACACACACACACACACACACACACACACATAAAATTTGTGTTTCAGAAAGGAGACTCTTGTGTTCTAACACGTGTTGTGAGGGAAGTAAATTAAAAATACTTTGAAAAATCATCCAGAATGAAAATTCATGATAATCTGTAAAAAGGTTAGAGGATTTCAAGGAGGGGCAGATTTAAAAGTTTGAAGAAGTATTATAGGAACAGAAAAATATATTTTGGATGTGTAAAATTATGATGATGGCAGGATTTCTGCTGTGGATGTCTAGGTAAAATAATGGTGGCACCATTCAATCACTGAGGCAAAAATTATGAAAACAAGCCCTACTTTCGTGGACGTGTATGCCCCTACATACTCATAATTCTAGTATCTCAGAGAAGGACTTGATGAAAGATTAACATACCCAGAGAGGGCTGGCTAAGATGAAGTAAGAGCCAGCTGTGTCAAAAGAAGCCTTGGGATCAGTGCCTTGGCTACCGCCTATGCTCAGTTAAGACCAGGATAGGGAAAACAGGAGGTATTTGAGATGACCACTTGGGTGGCATTTCAGGTGCACCAGAATCACCACTGGAGAGGTCTTCCATTATCTAAGGTCTCCAATATATCTCCCCCTTGCCACTTTTTTGCATAGGGGTGCAAAATCTACCCACCCTCCCTTTCCTACCTCCTGGGACTTCATGCTGAAGGCTTCCCTTTTTAGTTCCTTCTAGTCCAGGACTGCATAGAGACTCTCCAGGTCCAATGGTGGTGGTGGAGGGGCTCTTTCTCCCCTCTAGAACCCCAGGTCCTAGTCTTGGGCCTTGCTTTTCCTTAGCAAAGTCCTTTCTTCTGCTGCCTTGGTCCAGGTGTGGTGTTTTGCACATTTGTCCCTCCCCAGAGCATCATCATCCACAAGAATTTTTTACACATCTGGAGAGGTTTCTGGGAAAGAGGACTGGGAGGATATAATCCAGAATTCCAGCCTTTGGTTTTTCTGTTTAAAGCAAGGTCCTTGTCTCTGACTGTGGTTGCTGAGAGGCATGAGTAAATGCCACAGGCTCAAACAAAACAAAACAAAACAAACTCTTGGTTATTTTTAGTTTGAGTTAGTACATGATAGAACTGGTCAACAAATCAAAGCGTCTAACCAGAAGCCAAAAATGAACCAAAGATATATGTCTTTTAAAAGTTTCCATGTGTTTTTATTTGCCATTATTTAAAAGTTGGCACATCTGACAACATGCTAGGAGGAAGTCACTGGATTTCAATGTCTGACACTTTCTTTATACAGGACATGACCTCTGGAGCCTCTATCACATCCTATATTCTCCCAACACTGGGGCTGGATATCTTCGTCATTTCTTGGTGTTTTTATTTTCTTATATAAATCTTAAAAATTATATTTGACAGCACTTCGTATATAATAGATAGTCCAAGTGGGCTACAAGTTTCAAGAAAAATTGGAGTAAGTGTTTTCTCAATGGGAGTGTAGAATATTCCTACCTGTTTAATGTGCAGAGTGTATCTTTATTGAAAATATGTCGTTGTGAACAAATTTATGGTAAAAACGCTAACTGCACTTCAGAAAAGATATGTGATAAAAACTTCAATAAAATTGAACAAATAATATTTCAACAGTGTTTATTTTAGAATACAAATGAAATAATGACAATACTGTGAAATAAAATTATTTAATAATTGAAAACATAAACTCGATACCATAAATTTTAGGTGGGAAATTTAAGAAATATTGTCTACTTAGCAATGTAAGAATTCTTCACAGCAAAGAATTATCTGTCCCAAACATAAAGAAACAATCCCAAAAATAATCTAACAAGTATTATTGGGGCACTTAGTTTTGCATTTACAGATGAACTTAGAGAAGTTAAGGAAAAAAGACAAACAATTTTTGATGCCTCCCCTTTCAGTAATTCTTGTTATCTAATTTTACTAATAGTGTCAGTAAGTATATTATATGTGAAATAGTTTGCTAGGGCTGCTATAACAAAGTACTTCAAATTGAATGGCTTAAAAAACAGAAATTTACTGTACCACAGTTCTGGAGGCCAAAAGTCTGAAATCAAGGTGTCAGCAGGGCCATACTTACTCTGAAGGCATTAGGGAGGGGTCTGTTTCAAATCTCTCTCCTAACTTCTGGTAGTTCCTTGGCTTGTGATAGCATCACCCCAATCTTCACATGGTGTTCTCTTTGTATGTTTTTCTGTGTCCAAATTTCTCTTTATAAGATCACAAGCCATACTGAATTTGGGTCCTCTCCTACTCCAGTATGACCTCATCTCAGATTAACTGGTTATATCAGCTGTGACCCTATTTCTAAACAGGGACTAATTCTGAGATACTAGTGGCTAGAACTTCAACATATAAATTTGGAGTACATGAACCAACTGGTAACAATGTGATTGAAGAACGTTTTGATCTAGTGACTCTCATGAGTACGACAAAAGAAACCATTTATGTGTTAAGAAATGGATTGAAAAGTCAATGTAGGCCAGTCAAAATTAAGAAGCACAACTACAACAGATGGTTACTTGTCATTGGTTGCTATTGTGGTTGGTCTGGTTATTACAATTAAATTCATGGTTATACACTTTTGAACACAGGTCTCTTTATTGCATTGTTCAGGTATCACTTTTGGGGGTAAGGTATTAAAAATGGAATAAGTAATGGGCACATGGTCATTATCATCATGAATCAAATAGTCTTCTATGATGTAAGTCACAGTGAGTTCAAGCCTTTGCTTGGAGAATGTAGTAGTCTGGTGTACTATCGGAAGGTGTGATGACAGGGTTGGCATGGTACAACAAAAGATGTTTTAACTGATGAAAGACACCAACCTGTTAATACCATTTGAGAGAAAATGCATGTCTCAGCTCACTAGAAAAAATTGGATCAAAAACTTGGCTTTTTTTGTTGGCATTATAATTCATCTGAATAAACACTTTGAATAATTCTCTGCAAATGCATTCAAAAGTAGTTACACAAATATGTACTTTAATTCATTTGGAAAGGAATAGCATGTCCAAATTTCTACACTGAAACCAGATTCCAGAAATGAGAGTGATGGCCTGAATTACTTTCCAAACATCAAAGCTTTGAATACCGAACTCCTATCTCTCTCTCTACATATATATATATATATATATATATATATATATAAAATTTTTAACTTCTATTTTAAATATTATGGACATGGACTGACACTTTTCAATTTGCCTTTATGGTTAAAGGATACCAGGATCAGTTGCATCTCAAAGTGAAATATAAGCCATGACAGGGATATTTATTCCTTTTAAATTTTATATTGTTTTTATTTTGAAATGAAAATACAATATTCAATTAAAACAATTTGTACCCTATGATACATATTTATATGATAGTTTAATTAAACTAGGTTTTGTTTACATTTCCAGAAGTTGTTTTTCTTACCCTTGGTGCATTTCAGTTATTTTTGTACAGCAGACCTTCTCCATATATTATAGAAAGTATTAAAGCACAAGGCTATTACTCAGTTTCAACTTAAATTGTGTGCCAGACTACAATTAACTGATTATGTCAGCTAATATTATATAGTAAATTGTGTCTATCTATAAAGGTAAAATAATTATAAACATTTTAGATGTTTTAACATATTTGAAAGAATATTCATTGTAAGAACTTAACCAATTTTTGCCCTATTAAAAAGCATTCATTCATTCCACATTACTAGGCACTGTTCTTGTTATATACTAAAGTACCGCCATCTTACCAACAAGGAAGTCAAGATTTGAAGTTACTTTCTAAAGACCACACAGTAAATGATGGACCCAGGATTCCAAAGCTTGTGCTTTCTGATATACCACATTATCTCTCTATGTACTTCAATGAGTATATTACTTGTATGCACATTTGTACTTTTAAGTCTGTTTTGGACCATGGAATACTATGCAGCCATAAAAAGAATGAAATAATGTCCTTTGCAGTAAAAGGGATGCAGCTGGAGGCCATTATCCTAAGCAAATTAACTTGGGAACAGAAAACTACCACATGTTCTCATTTAAAAGTGTGTGCTAAACATGGGGTACTCATGGACCTAAAGATGGCAACAGTAGAAACTGGGGACTACTAGGCGGGGAGGTGGGAGGGAGACAAGGGTTGAAAAATTACCTTTTGGGTACTATGCTCAGCACCTGGGTGATGGGATCGTTCATACCCCAAGCTTCAGCATCATACAATATATCCAGGTAAAAAACCTGCATTTTACCCCTGATCTAAAATAAAAGTTGGGAAAATAAAATATTAAAACAATATTTCTTGTTTTTTATGTATATTATAAAGTTTTGAGAAACAAAAATATGTAAGCTGCTGGAGGAGTGACTTGTCAAATTCTTGTAACAGTTTACTATACCATTTAAAAGCATAAGAGAATTGGTTTGGAGTCATCCTGTCTTTGTGACTTGAGGAGAGTCACTCAAACTCTCTAAACCTCAGTTTCTTCTTAAGTTAAAATGAGCGTAGTCATGGGGTTGTTGTGAAGATTATCTGAGATAATGCATGTTAAAGGAGCCATTTAATAACACCTAAACATTTTTCATAAATGATCCCTGTTACAAATTGTCTGTTATATGTGCTGTAAACATATTCTCTCATTCTGTCTTTTTGTTTTCACTTTCGTAATGGTCTTTTTTTTTGATAAACAACAGCCTCTTAATTTTTTAAAAAGACATTTTAAGTATAAAACATATAGAGGGGCTGGGCATGGTTGCTCACACCTGTAATCCCAGGTGTGAGGCCAAAGTGGGAAGATCGATTGAGGCCAGGAGTTCAAAATGAGCCTGGGCAAACATAGTGAAACCTCGTCTCTACAAAACAATTAAAAAGCTGTAAGGCATGGTGTTGTGCACCTGTAGTCTCAGCTACTCTACTTGAGAGGCTGAGAAGGGAGGATCACCTGAGTCCAGGAGTTTGAGGCTGCAGTGAGCTATTGTGCCACTGCACTCCAACCTGGGCAACAGAGCAAGAACCTGTGTCAAATAAATAATACATACAGAGAAAAGAACACATACGACAACTTTACAGAAACAAAGAGGTTTCTTAAAAGGAACTCACCGTGTAACTTGCATTTAGATCTAAAAGTAGAATATAATCAGCACCTCAAAGTCTCCCTCATTCCAATTTTTCTTTTTTTAAACGGAGCCTTGCTCACTGCAACCTCTGCCTCCCAGGTTCAAGTGATTCTCCTGCCTCAGCCTCCCGAGTAGCTGGACTACAGGCATGCACCACCACGCCCAGCTAATTTTTGTATTTTCAGTAGAGACGGAGATTCACCATGTTGGCCAGGCTGGGCTCGAACTCCTGACCTCGTGGTCTGTCTGCCTCAGACTCCCAAAGTTCTGGGATTACAGGCCTGAGCCACTGCACGCAGAACCCTCATTTCACTTCTTGCTCTCACTACCCTCAAAAGATAATCATTATCCTGAATCCTAACACCATAAAACAGTTTTATCTGATTTTAAACTTTATGCAAATGACATCATAATATAGGTACTTATTTTCTGCCTGTATCCTTTCACTCAGTATTTTTGTGTTTCAAACATTTTGAGGCATGTACTTGTAATTTATTCAGTTTTATTGCTTGATTGTTCACTTCATTACTTTTATTTGTTCATTTTTATTTTATAGAAATTTATATCAATATTATATTTTCTACCCCCTATATTTTCAAATAACATTTAGGTTGTTTCCAGGTTAGAACTAATATAAATAGTGCTGCTATGAACTTTCTTATACATGTCTGTTGGAGAAATAATGTGTGAATCTCTCTGGGGCATATACCTATGAGTGTAATTGCCATCTCACAATGTGTGACTATATGCAATTTTATTAGATACTGCTAAACTATTTTCCAAACTGGTTGTACCAATTTACAATCCTTGAAACTGTGTGTGTATGTTCCAGTTGCTCCTGATTCTTCATTAATATTTGGTAATATTTATATTTTTTATTTTAGTCATTTGTGTTAGTACATACTTGTATTTATTTGTGTTATTAGTAGGTAATTATTTGATATTCTATGAAGTTGTTCACCTTCTGTTATATATTGCCTATGTGTGTGTGTAGTGTGTGTGTGTGTGTGGTGGTTATTAAGGTCCTCAAAAGTTCCCTCATACCTTGTCCCAGTTGATTCCCCCCTACCTCTCTTAGAGGTAACGATTCTGATTTTGATCTCCATAGGTTAGTTTTATAGGTTCTTAACCTTGCTCTAAAAAGAATCATGTGGTTTATATATTTGACTTATTTGGCTCAACATAAGACCCTCGCAATTCTTTCATGTTGATATTTATGAAAAATGTGTTCTTTTTTATTGGTGAGGAGTATCTTAGTATGTCCATTATTTGTCTACCTATTACTTGTTACCAGTATTTGTTTATCTCCTCACCTATTGATTATAAATTTGTGTTGTTCTCAATTTGTGGCCATTATGTTTACAATAATTTCTTTGTAGGAGTTCTTTATTGTATCTAGATTAACTCTGTCCAATAGAACTTTATGTGTTGTTCAATATGGTGGCCACTAGTCACATATGATTATTCAGTGCTTGAAATGAGGGTAGTATGACAGAGGAACTAAATTTTTAATTTTATTTAATTTTATTTAAATTTTAATATAAATTGGTACATGGCTAATGGCTACAGGGACAATACATGTTTAGCTTGACATCTTTTTTCTAATATGTGTAATGTAAAAGATTTTTCTCCTAGTTAGTGGCTTGTTTTTTCAAATTAGCAGTGTCTTTTCATGGATAGAGTTTTAATTTTGGAAAACTCCAGCATTAATATTTGATAATTTTCTATTTGTTGCTACTCTATGGTTGTTAAATTTATTTTTTTTATGCTGACCCTTTTTCTGGGAGCTACTGCTGAATTCACCTATTTATCTAGTAGATTTTTGTTTTGTTTTGCTTTTTAGGTATTCTTTCAGATTTTCTGTACATACAATCATGTCACCTACAAATAGATTTAAATCACGGTAGAAAATGTTACTACTCAGGTCTCATCAGGACCTATTGAAATCAAACAAATGTATAATGTAATAAAAGCATTAAAAAGAGAACATATATTTCCCTAATTCAGCTACAAGTAGAGTTTGAATTCTGATTTTTAAAATTTACTTGAAAGGATATCAAACCAGTTCATCAAATCCTTTGTGTGTCATCTAATAGCTGTTTTGTGTCAGTTATTCAAGTCTCTCCCAGTAATAGGTCTCAAAGACACAATACAGAAATGTGCTGAGTTTGTAGAGTCTCAGAATAAGCCCAAAAGTATGCTCCAAGTGAGTGAAGACCCTTGATATGAGAAGATTATATGAGAACATAATAAAAAGAGCTGTAGCTAGGGCATTTACAAGAGCTAGACTGACACATTAAATCTCTTGAGGCCCTGAGGAGAAGTGAGAGTATCAGCTAAGAATCTTTCTGGGTTACAGCTTTCTCTCATATAAAGAACATTATTAAAAGGATATAGAGTTAACAGGTAAATTGGTTTGAATAATTAAGGCTAATATATCTGGATAATTAATTGCTAAATAATGGTACAGACTTCTAGTTTTATAGAACTCAAATCAGTTCTATTTGTATAGCCTTATATCTGTGAACTCTAAACTTTAAAAGCTGGTAATCTGAGAAATGGATATTTTAAATTTCTTCTTGATATTAAATAAATGCCTACATATGCTTATAGTATAAGCTGTAGGGCAGAAACTGAATCCTTTTCCACTTAAACATTATAGCAGATGCTTCTAGAAAGACCATAAAAATGACTAAAATATATGATGCTGTAATGTCCACTATTAAGCTGCTGCTGATTCTTCAAGTAGTAAACAGTGAAGAATAAGATGTGTAGCTTTTGAAGTGACAAGAGCTATATGTAGCCACTGGAGTACTATTTAGAAAATATCTGTTCTGTGTACTACAATATGTTGGTGTGTCCCATAGATTTCCTTTGAAAGCATATCAGTGTGGGTATAGTCTGTGAAAAGAGGGGAGAGTGGGGCTGGATCTAGCTGGTGAGGAGGCAAAAAGGGCTTTATAGACAATGATGAGGAGAGTGGGCCTTATTCTACATATAAAGAGAAGCCAAAAAAATGATTTTATTGGTGGAATAACATGACTGAGTTGGATTTGGAGGATGCATCTTTCTGCAATACAGAATCAATAATGCAGAGTAGACAAGAGAAGAAGAATCAAGTTTTAATACAGGGCTGCTGAATTTAACCCTTTGAACAATGCACGACAAACTAGTAGAACTAAATTTATTCAGCAGGAGAAAAATCTAATAAAATGCCTGTGGGTTATAAAACTGCAATAATTGCTTAAAGCTAGTTATACCCATAAAATCACTGGTTAAGCTACTGGGACAAGTTCACTGGAAACTCCTATGGGTGGTGTCCAACTTAAAGAATATTAAAATTAGGAATGATTAAGCCCAATTGAGTTGCTAAATTAATAGCAGTCTAGTGAGATCTGTAGTAGTAAAATCTTCATCAGGTTAAAAAAAAATTAAAGTTCAAAGGACAATGAAGTTTTGGCAATTCGTTATTTATTTTAGAATATTAAAGTGGAAGTCTGGGTCTCCAAATGTATTTTATTAAGGTATTTTCATTCTGAATTAATGTTGATTATCATTAATTATGTTAACACACCATTTTCCAAATTTTATGTGCTTTATATCATAGTTTTCATATATTATAGTTTCAAAAAATTAAAGGAAAATACCCACCATCTCTAGTACTATATCATGCAAAGGTAACAGATTCTATTTTCTTCTCCTAATACTTTTATAACTTTGAATGGCACATTTAAAACCTCCATGCCACCATATCTGAATTTCTAGAATGAAGTGTTTACTCTGGGGAGTATGATTAGGGTAAAAACAAGAGAGAAATTTTACTTTTACTTTACAACTTTCAGAATTGCTCAAACTTACAAAACAAATATAGCAAACCCCAGCAATATTAAAAATTCAGATTGATAATGTGATTTTTTTCTATGGGTTTCCATTAATCATCTGTCCCCTTTCTCAAATAAGAGTGGGCTAAATTTTTAAACTGTTAGATGTGGGAAATAGGTACATAGAAAGTGCGTCCAGACGGGAAAACAGCAGGCAGCCCCTTTTGGGGAAGGAAGAAGAAAATGGCAGTTCTCCTTAACCCTCATATTCCCTTGGATCAAACTCCAGGGACATAGAAAATGTACACATACTAGCCATAAGGTTTTTAAAAATGATGTTCACTGTGCTAGAAATCACAGAGCCACAGGACTTGATTCATCTCCATGTCTTGAATTAAAATGAACAACTGCTAGGTAGTGCAAAGTTGTATTTTGGATCAGGACAGAAATAGTAGGCGCAGGTTGACCCTACAAACACCTAGCTGGTTAGTTGTGTTGACTCGTTTTGGTAAACTTGAAATAAAGTAACTCTGCATGTTACACAATTGAGATTTTTGGACTAAATTTAACACATTACTGTGGGGGTTTCCTTTAATTATATGATAACCTTTTGTTCAAATGAAGAAATTAGACAAGATGCTATCTATGTTTCTTTCCATTGTTAACCCATTTCTGGTTTACTATATAATCTGTGCCCAGATTTTCATTCCTGGCCTATAATAGTTTTGGTTTTTGGTTTTCTTCATGTCCCAAGCATGTTAAAAACTGCTGAATTTTATATGAGCTGTCAGATAATCTTTTTTTGACTGGCTAATCCAATTTATTTAATATTTTTAGAAGCTGCTTATAAACAGATATCCTTTATATGAATATTTGATCTATGTTGCATGTATACTTGTATAAGGCATAATTACTTGATGACATTAGAAAGGAAAGTCATCTAACTACCCTCATTCTCGTTCTATATGCACAAAGTAACCTGATTACAATTTGACTTTGCTAATAGATACAAAAAGTTCATTGGCAGCAATGATGAAAATCCAGTTGACTAGTATGGTAGATATTATGGCCACTCAGCAAAATTTCTTTCTGGACACAGAAAGAATTGTACTTCTCTGCCTCCTTTGATGTTACAAGTGGTCATGTGGCTTGCTTTGGCCAGTGAAATTTGAGTTGAAGTGATATATGATTTGCATTTAGCTAAGGCAGTTGGGGAAAGTATCTGTTGATATGGAAAGTGCCTTAAGTTTAGAGTGGCCTGGAATGCTAGATGCTGCCTTGGAGAGATACCTGGACCATGTTGAAATTTATGTGAGAAATGAACTCTTATGATATACCACTGAGATTTTAGGTACTGATTACAGCATACAGGAGCATATCATGACTCATGCACTTGCAACTTTTTTGATAACATTTTAACACTATCCATTAATACAATGTTACGTTTTTTTGTTTTTAAAAGTGAGGCCCCTTGGCTGGGCGCAGCGGCTCATGCCTGTAATCCCAGCACTTTGGGAGGCTGAGGCGGGCGGATCACAAAGTCAGGAGAATGAGACCATCCTGACTAACACGGTGAAACCCCGTCTCTACTAAAAATACAAAAAATTAGCCAGGTGTGGCAGTATGCGCCTGTAGTCCCAGCTACTCGGGAGGCTGAGGCAGGAGGATGGCGTGAACCCGGGAGGCGGAGCTTGCAGTGAGCCGAGATCGCGCCTCTGCACTCCAGCCTGGGAGACAGACCGAGACTCTGTCTCAAAAAAAAAAAAAAAAGAGGCCCCTTGTCGGGGGGTTGTGGGGAAGGGGAGGGAGAGCATTAGGACAAATACCTAATGCATGCAGGGCTTAAAACCTAGATGACGCGTTGATAGGTGCAGCAAACCACCATGGCACATGCATACCTATGTAACAAACCTGCACGTTCAGCACATGTATCCCAGAACTTAAAGTAAAATTTAAAAAAATGAGACCCCCGAATTAAAGTGTGATTGTGTTATACAATATACTTCTATATATTTTATATGTTTTATATGAAATGTATAAAATTATATTGATTCAGAGAATTTTGGGGGTTATCTTCACCTAAATTTATAATATTTAGTATTTATTTCACTCAGTATATTGGTATTACTTTGTTCTCATATTTCTATTAAGTACAATTCTCATATTAATATAGCTTTTTTCAAACCAAAGTAACTCCTCACAAGCAATTACTGTATTCTTTTGCAGCAATACACCTATAAAACTAAAGATTGGAAACATGATGTTATCTCAGTGTTTTCTTTTCAGTAATGAAGTTTTCCCCAGAGTTTTACTCTTGAGCTTTTGACACTAAACCCGGAAACTGAGCGCTATAGCAAATTCTCAATAAGATCATTATCCTACATATAAAGCTACACAGTATTATTACTTTAATATAAACACATATGCTTTTTAGTACTTATCTAGATGGCTTAATTTAAGTACCCACATATTGCGTGTCTCCTAATTGCACTTTAATATTAAATCCCTACATGGAAAGAATTCACAAAATGATGCTAAAATATGAAGCCTATGCACATATGGCATCAGGGCTCTATCTCAGACATTATATTATTGGGCTTAGTTATAGTACATGAAGGAAGACAGAACCTGAGAAAGTTAAAATTTGTGTAAATTGGAATAGGGGAATTGTGTAAAATAGAATTAGAAAAATATCTAATATGGGGTTCAACACTTTTGTGCCCTTGGGGACTTTGGAAATAGAGCAAAAAAATGGAACATGGAATATTTGTGAGATTTCACACATTTAGAAGTTTTACATAAAATTAGTGATTCCTTCTTTTCCTTCTGAGTAGAAAGATGATTAAAATCTGGCTTTCATCTTAACATGATCATCAAACCGAAGACATGAGAATGTTCATATTGATTTGAAAACTTTTTTATTTGTAAAGAGAATCAGGGATGGCTATTGAGAGCAAGGGGCAGAAACTCACCTTCCGCCTTTCCAGATCTCCTTAGGTCAATGAATGTCTGAGGGCCTAAGTGAAGTAGCTTGTAGTGACAGGGACATAGAAACTCTCCATGCTTGAAAGCCTTTGTGAAAAGATGGAGTCAGAGAGGCTAAGGTAGGACGAGGGATGAGTCTTTAGGTTTGGCTGAGGAAGTCTGTATGAGGTCTTCTTATCAGAGCTCTGGGCACCACTGGAATTGAGGGAGGTAGCACAACAGAGAATGGGTTTAGGGTGGGCTAGTTAGGGCAGCACAAACCCACCTCAACTGTTCACAATAGTTCACTAGATTTAGCAAAAATGTTCAGAGGCAGACACAGGAGTCACAGCAAAGGAGAAAGAAGAGGAAACAAAAGGAATCAGTGACAAACGAGAGGGTAATGTGGACACATATCATCCCATTTAGAGCATTCTATGTGGGAGAGCTGGAAGGAAAGGGATGTATGGTTTACTTGTCCATTATTTCAGCACATATCTATTAGAGCCTATTAATGTGGGTTTGGAGTAATAGTTAAGAATTTTGGCTCTGAAGCCAGGTTGCCTGGTTTGATATCCCAGAACCACTAACCAGCTGTGGGGCCTTGGGGCAAGTTAATTAAGTTTTCTCTGCATCAATCCCCTTATCTATTAAATGATGATAATAAAGTGGTACCTATCCCCTAGGTTGGTGTGATTATTAAATAACATAAACACACTGCTGGGTATATAATAAGTAGTATGTGCTGCAGGTACTCATACTACTTTTATTATAAAGGCCACTTCTCCAGAAGGAAGTAAAACATGAAATGGGTAGATACAAGCCCCTTAGTACAGATCTTTTTTTATCACATGGATGCTATGAATATCAATATTGATCATGTTTCTATTTTGATTTTGAGTTTGGGAATCTCAGGGAATATTTATTGAAATTGATATATTCTTAATACAATTACTAATTTTAAATTATAATTCTTATATTTCTTCACTCTGCATTCTTCATAGATATACTCTTTCTGTTAGATAATTCATTTCTTCAAGCTTCTTAAAAGTATTTTTGGGGAATAACGTCATGTTGGTTTTGGCTGGTATAGAAGGTTGGTGGTGGTCACAGTGAAAACATACTTATGTATTAGAGACAGAACTTGAGAAAATTAAAAAGCTTTGCCAATCAAGCAAAGGAAACAAACACAATGGGGTTAAGTGCTAGTGAAAATATCTGAAGAGCAGATGGTCATAATGATTTTGGAAAATTATTCTGGCATTATGTTTAAGAAGTATAAAGGGTAAGGGACTGGAAGCAGAGAGACCAGTTAGGATGTAAAAGACTGGGTCTGAAGTAACAAAAGACTAGTTTATGGAAGTTTCGTAAGAGTAAGGAGAAGGTGGTAAATATGATGAGATGAAACTGATAGAAGTTGGGAAAAATGATTGAATAATTGAGACAAGGAAATGAGGGTGGTCAAACATGAGACTGAATACTTTTTCCAGTAATGAAGACAAGCAGGCATTTTTGGAGAGCTTACTAAAGGCACATCAATGCATTCTCAGCTATGCAGATAATTCTGATTTTAAACTTTGTACTTTGAGCAATTACAGAGTTAAACAGAGTTCTATGAAATTAATAAGGTCCTTATTATTACCATGTGAGTTCTTCATCTTATGCCTGTGTGAAAACCACAAAAAGTGGGGAGAATTTGAAGAACATAGGAGAAATCCCCCCAAGGTCTGAAAGACAATATTCATGCCCAGTTGCACTAAACTCATATATTTTTGTATTAGTTTTATGTCAAAGAGACTAATAGCATTGGTTTTCAAGCCTCCTTTGGATCTCAGTGAGGTTTCTTCAGCAATTCCTCAAGACCTCTGAAGTGGGACTAGGTTAGGGCAGAACAGGTAGGGCTCTGGATTGCTAATTGCCTCTTTAGAGCTAAGCCATTCATCTGTTTTATTTTGAGGGGTCTCCACTGTAAGATTCTGTTTGAAAAAATAGTTCCCTCACTAATAAGAAATGATAGCTTTTTGGTATCTGTAATACTTGCATACAATTTTGTTAACGTTAACTATATAGCAATATCTTTCTTATCTTCTAGCATGAGTTATTTAGTCTTTATATAAATTTCTGAGTCAAATAACTTCTTTGGATATTGATTTGAATAGTATTTGGATTTGACGGTGTGTAGGGACAATTGGATTCAGGCTTCCAGAGCCCAAAGCAAGTGGAAAAGTAAGAGGTCAAACCTTCAAATTCCCCAGGCTTCTGCTCTGGTGAGTTACATATCATGCTCTGGGCAAGGTCAATTGGCCCATGGCATTTTCATAGACATGATTATTCTGGAAGCATCTCAGGCGTATCTTTATTTTCTCAGGTCTCAAGCCAGTATATCTTGAAGTACATCATTACTTCATTACAGTTTCTGCAGACATTGCAATGGGAAAATTCAGGAATAAGAGGCATTTTCCTTTGACATTGAGATGGTCAGTCCTGAGAAAGGTTTTGTCAAGGAAAAACGTTCTGTGGTTGTGAAAACGATGTAGAGTATAGAGACTGGTGTAACATTTCAGCAGATACAATTTTATAGTCTCTGATAAATACCTCAATGACTTTGAGATAAGAGATTAAAAGAGGTGATATTCTATATTAGTTATCTATTACTACATAACAAATTACCCTAACATTTAGTGGCTTAAAACACAATACTTTCTTCATGTCTTATCTCTCATGGTTTCTGTGGATCAGAAATATGTATAGGTCATAGTAAAGATGGCTTGTTTCTTTCAGAACATTTTTGGCTTCAGCTGGAAAAGTTGGAATAATCTGAAAACATATCACTTACATATCTGATAGTTGATGATGGCTGTCAGCTAAGACCTTAGCTGGAACTGTTGCCTAGAATTCATTAATGTTTTTTCCATGTGGTGTGGTCATCCTCACAACATGATAGCTTGGCTACAAAGGCCAGCATTGAGAGAGAAAGAAAGAGAACCACATCACATTTACAATCTAGCCACAAAACTTATGGAGGGTTACTTCTATCAAATTCTACTTAAGCCAGTTACAAAGATTCCCACAAGTTCAAGAGGAAAGAACATGAACCCCATCCCTTGATGAAAATGTGTTACTACTGTCACATTAAAAAATATGTGGGATAAAATACGTATAGGTGCACCCATCTTGGTTCAATGTAATCTACCACATAAGAGAAATAAAGAGAATGATAAGAAATGAAGAGAACATCATTGTGCTTTAGCCTGGGGTACCAATCCAAACTCTCCTCCTACCAGTTCTCAATCAAATTAGAAAGATATACAGAAGTCAGCTTGATCAAGCATAAAGCTGCATTGGAAAATACAGGTCAAAACCTAAATCAAAATGGTTTTTCCATTGAGATAAATTTACCAACCAATTCATAGAGCTAAAAAAACTTAGCCCAGTGAGTTTTTCCTCACTCACAGCAATAAGGGCAGAGTATGTGGGAAGAAAAAAATATGAAAAAGAAAAAATAAATGTACATCTCTAGCCAAGGTACATTTTCTTTATTCTCTGGAATCATCTTCAATTGAGTACACTTGCAATACTGCCAGATAAAAAACGGAATCGAGGGCAGGCAGAGTCTTAACAGGTGTTGGTACAAACGTAGAGCTTCAAAGGGGCTTGCTTTTGGCTGCCAAGAGGATCGATGCAGATGTACGCTTTGGCTTCTTTAGACTGAAATGGCCTAAATTCTCTTTCTCGAGAAAAGTTTGTGAATTTATTCCATGTTAAAACCTACTGTTATTTGACCAGCAAGGAAAGCATTTCTCCCTTAGAAATGGCCTCTTGTCATGAAATATTCAAACAAAAGACAGGCAAGGTTTTGATTTTTAAGAATTCTATAAAGCACACTTTGTGCTGTGTTTTGGGGATTTTTTTTGTGTGTGTTGTAGTCGTTGCCTTCAAAAGTTAGACTTTCTAATTCATGTCTCTCTTTCTCCTGTCTCACTACTCTGAGTGGCTTTGTGAAGCTCAGGCTTGAGGCTTTCATTCTTGATAGGACTGTGTCTTTTCCAGTAACATAGGTAAATCACCTGCAGCTGTGAACACTCTTCACAGAGGGTTAAATTTATTCCACGTTGTAGAGTACAATCTCATCTCTGTAAATAATTTTATTATGTTCCTTTATAAACATTTTGGTAGAAGAAAATTCTTGGTTTAACTCAATAACATATACTTTCCCTGCCCCACGAATTAGATTGATTATGGTGGCATGTGAGATTGATAATACATAGATTTGTGTTATGACAGCCATTGTTTTAGTGCCAAGCTGAAGAGGAATGCTTCCTTAAATGTATCATTGTATAAAATATTGACCTAGAGAACTTCATTATTCAAGCTGGAGAGACAGTCACTACTTAACAGTAATAAACTGTTTCTGTGTTACATTGAGAATACTTCAGGAAATATGAGAGTTGTCAAATCTCTTGAAAATCCTGTCTTTATAGTACACATGACACTAAAGCTATAGCTGTATTTTCTGCTAATAAAAGCAAAGGCACAGACAGATGTGAAGGATATCACAGCACACTGACAAGAAACTAAGAAAAATGAATACCTGGTTGAGGAGTCAGAAAGACACAGGCCAATGACCTTGGGAAGCTTTACTCTTTTGAGATATTTTTGTTCTTATAAGGAGAGCAACATAATGCTGCTTTAGTGTAAAAAATACAATAAACCTGAGGCTCTAAACTGAACACATTTTATGAAAAATATCCTGAAGTGTCTCTTAACAAAAAAATCACGTGAGATAACATAAAAATAAAAGATGCTGTATGCCAGCCAGAATGTTTTTCAAAAGACAATTTAGGAGGTTCCAAAAATGATATACAGAAGTGCAAATTTTTTTTTTAAATGACAGTTTGAACCAAGTTGACAGTTCTTCCATTTATTAAAGAAAAATCTTTCAATTAACCTTAATGGTCTCCTCCTCCCTATTGTAGCTAATGAAGATATTCCTCTAATTTTAAGAAAACTAGTATATATATATGTGTGTATATATATATATATATATATATATATGTGTGTGTATATATATATATATATGTGTGTGTATATATATATATATATATATATATATATATATATATATACAGTTTGCATACCTCTTTCAAATTGGTGTCATAGTAACTTATTTGTCTAGTATCTAAACTACCAAAATTAAAGAACATCTGAAAATTAGCATATAAGAAAAATGCTAATTAGTTCAGTATAACTACTCATCCTGAAGTACCTTGTTAATAATTAAAGAATATTAATTTATTTTGTTTTATTTTGTTCTAAGTTATGAAGTTTAGATGCCTGTGGGAATGCTCAGTTATTCAGGACATCAAATTCAACAGAATACCAACAGATAATTCTATTTTTAAATTTTTTTCAGAAACTATAGCTACTGGTTACATTTAGGATAAAATTTTATTTAAAAAGAGTAATACCTTTAAGTAGCAGTGTAAATTATAAATTTATTTTAAAATGACTATGGAAAACTAACAATGATATTTCAATTTTCAGGTGCTGTTTTATTTTCTGAAGTTTAGATATACTTAGACAAATTTTTATTTTCCATTATGTAGTATAATTATTTTACTTTATTATCATTAACATTTTAGAATATAAAAAGGCATAGTTTCACTAGATCACCTGCATTGTCTTCAAAAGCTCTTAAGAAAAAAATGTGATCATATAAGGAAATTCAGACATAAATACATATTTGTATAGAGAGAAGGAAGGGAAGAGGTAGGGAGAAGGACACATTTTAAAAGGGAGAAATAAGTGACATCATATTCTAATGGAGACCAGCAAAGGTAAGATATCAAAACTTGGTTTGGGCTGTTTTTTAACTTTAATATGTTAACTAATTAATACATGATATATATGTACCCTATGTCTTTAGAATTCATTGTAAATTAACCAATAAGAAATGAGGAGCTCCTGTTTGGGGCTCTTGCATAGCTGTAGAATGATCCGTTTTAAAGACCTGACTCAGTAGTTCTGAGGGCTCCTGAGAAACCTTTGCTCATGGCCTCCTCAGTGGTGAGAATAGGCAGGGTGGTCTCTTTTTCCTCACACTTTCCCCCTTGAAAGTTGATTAAGTATTTGTATGTCAAAAGAGTTTTATAGATTTTATGCCAATGAAATAAAAAACCACTGAAGTGAAAACAAAATGATCAATTGAAGTATATGCTATTAATAGTTTTTTCAATGCCTCCTAGATGCAAGTAATTAAGAAAAGTATCTACAAATAATAGAAAACATGAAAGCAAGACTTTCTGGGATAAACAGCCATGTGGTTAGCTATTGATGAGTTATCAAGAGATGATCTGCTTACAGGGCATAAGAATCTAATGCTCATCAGTGAAGAAGATGATTGACTTAAATGATCTTTTGTCTTGGTGTAATTTGACCTTCTTATATAAAGCATGCATTATAGGTCCATATCTTTCCTTTTTTTGTGTTATCACACTATCAGTTATATATAAATAATCAAATATTTTTGCTATCAAATAAGACACTAATGTAATTATAAATGAAGTCAATTTGGTGAAGTAAATGGAAGACTTTATGTTGTATTGAATAATGTTCATTTATAGTTGAGATGTGGTAAACTCCTAACATGGAAATTATACTTGAATTCTGGTTGCTCCAACAAAGCCAAACATATCTATATAGTGAATACTGTGTTCTATTAGAATGGATTCCAAACCATACTTCATTTTTAAGCCACTATTCTGGTTTTTAATCTTGATAAATAGAATGCTGTTTAGTCACCAGAGTTGCTGATATTGAGTTCCAGGCAGTTGTGAGGTATCCAATGGCAGTGAAATAAGCAACCTGTGCATTACTGGGAGGTTCAAGATGAGATGCCAGCAAATCATAAAACTGGAAGTTTCCCCATTCGTCTTCTAGCCAGAAAACAAGCTTTCATCAACTACCTTTCTACTGAGTTACTTGATTTAAAATAAAACAAAATCAGCCTTGGTTCTGGAATTTTTTTTAGCAATAGAAGTATTGCATCTTGAAATGGCTGCTGGCTGTAAGTCTTAAAATGCATTGCAGATGATGGAGTAAAAATAAAGCACATTAACAGATATTTTCTCTGTATTCATACAGGCTAATTCTAGTGCTCCTGTCTCAGATTTTGTATTGTTTGCTTTTTGGTTTTGTAGTTGTCATTTTTTTTTTAAGGTTATCAGTCAAATAATTTTTTTTTTGAGATGGAGTTTTACTCTTGTTGCCCATGCTGGAGTGCAATGACACGATCTTGGCTCACTGCAACCTCCGCCTCCCCGGTTCAAGGGATTCTCCTGCCTCAGCCTCCCGAGTAGCTGGGATTACAGGCACTCACCACCATGCCTGGCTAATTTTGTATTTTTTAGTAGAGACAGGGTTTCTCCATGTTGGTCAGACTGGTCTCAAAAAATAAGTATTTTTAGAAGTCTACCTTATGAAGGTATGTAATTGGATACTTACTAATTTCCAATCCATTCCTGCACTTCCTTGGCACATGCAAACATTAAAAACCATTCCAGAAAGAGACCTTTGTTAAAGGTAACAAAGACAGGACTTTTTTTTATTTTTCTCTACCCATAGGATCCAGAGCCCTATTCTCTCCTCTAGCAACAAAACCTCAGGCCTTGAAGGATGTCCGCCTATTCTGAGAACCAAGCATACGATGAAACAAAATCACTGTGACTGAGCGTGAGGTGAGAGGAAAACTAGGGAGTGAACAGAGGTAAAGGGATGGATTACTCTTGAGAGAAGTGAGACAGAGGGAGCGAGGGAGAGCAGAGAGAGTCCATGGAATGCAATTGAGACACTACCCCTAGATCTTTACTTAATGTGACTTTATAGCTTGAAAGTCATGATACAAACCCATAATTACACATTGTTTTATGTATTCGTTTGGTTTTCACACACAGGATTGATATTTTATTAACATCTTTTGGTTATAGACTATACTCTCCAACATTTAGCACGAGGTGCTGAGATTAGATAAATACAATTTTGTTTGGATGAGGGAAGAAATGAAGTAGTTTAGAATGTAAAGTTATGAAGTAAGGGTTGTCGGGAAGAGGTGAAAATGCAGTAACTCCCTTCTTTTCTTCTTATATCTTTCACTGGATTTCCTTTTCCACATGAAGTTGAAACTAACAAAGACGTATGCAACCTATTAACCTGTTAAGATGAGCTGCATGAGATAGTGTTCTTAAATCAGAACTGTGGAGTATAGCATCTGGTACTTCAGAGCCTTGAAAGACTGAAATTGTTACCATTAATACAGGCAAATGTGCAACTCATATAAACAAGTATTCTCAGATTGGTGTGTAAATGAAAATGCCAATTTACTGATTTGTATTGGTAATCAGCCTGCTGTAGTGATAAAACATTGGTGTCCGGTGGTCAGGGGATCCTGTTCCAAGAATTGAGGCAATTGAAAAACTTAATAGTGAAAAACCTACTCAGTGTATATGGCACTAGGAGAATATCTATTTTTATTCCAGCTGGCAGCCTAAAGTAGGATTTCCAAACCAGAGTACTTTGAGAGTATGTATCAGTATGTGGCAAAACCATGAGATAAACATGGTGCATTGCCTTAGAGTGCCAATTTCACTACCAGATTATATTTATTTTTATCAGGAATTGTTAAGACATTTAAACATATTTATATATAAACAAACACAATTATGTTATAGAATATGCAGAGGAATGCAAAATGCAAGTAGGCATTTTTAGATAAAACACACACACAAATTCTTTTGTAGGAAGCTTCAAGCCAGACAAAGAGGTGCAGTGCAGGCAGGATTGTGCAAAAAGAGCTATTTCCTCTCTTTTTAGTAAATGCTGGAGGAAAGTTTGTAAAGGATCTGCTGGGTGAATTGATACCCTACTCCACAGAGAGGTAGGAGATACGTCTCCATAGTGAGGGAGAAACACTGACATATCCTTTCCCCTCAACACATCTCTGGGCAGACTCCTTGCTGACCATTGTCCACTTGAACTCATCTTTACAGCCTCATTCATTCTTTTTCAATACACTTTCATAACTTTTCTAAATTTATAGCTTATCTTACATTGATTACATTTTAGGTTGACTGCTTCCTGATGATATATAAAGGGCACCTTAATCTCATGAATTACCTGTTTCTAAATCACAATGCAGGCTGAGTTACTTTATGAAAGGTTTTCTGGCTCCATCTCTATTATGTGGATTTTGATCAACAATGATTACCTGGATTGGACCATTTTGCCCTGAGTGTTTCTATATTTTCCTCACCCTTGTCTTAACTGTGTTTCATCCTAGGTTTTTTAGATAACATTTCTTTTCAGTTTTTATTCTTTCTTTATATTCAATGATATACTTTTTGCATAATACTTACCTTTAAAAGTTCAAACAAGACCTTCTAAAGAAAAACTAGACATGTTAATCTACATAGGTAACTGTTTAAATTAAAAAATATTATTTTTCAATCTTTGTGAAATCAAGCATTATATGATCAAAATTTACCAAATCATAGCCTAGAGGCCAACAGCTGCATGAGTTCAATGAATATTATTCTTTGCTGTCTTTGTTTTATTTTTTTCCTTAGACTTTTTTATGGCTTAAATTATGACTGAAGTAATTGTATAAAGGCAAGTAAGGTCAGTGAGAAAGGATGGTTGGGAAAGAAATCACATGGTCAGTTGTGTGTCTCTACAAAAAATAATATTCTAGCTCCTATGTCCGCTCCTACCTCTTCCACCATTTACATTTTATTTATTTACTCTATGTTTATGTCACTTGCCTCTTCTAAAACCAAATTAGGTATTTGTTTCTGTTTATTTTCAATATTCTTATTAAAATTTAAGTTACAAGAGAATAAGGACTTTCTCTGTCTTGTTCACTCTGTTGTTATCACCTAGAATAGTACTTGATGACTCTCAGTGTATATACATATACATATATATATATTTAACTTCAGCACTGTTGAAATTTTGAGCTGGATAAATCTTTTTTTGGGTGAGGGGGCTGTCCTATGTGTTGTAGGATGTTTAGCAGCATCCATGGCCTCTGCCTTTTCATGTCAGTAGCATCCCTTCTCCAGGTTGTGATAAGCAAAAATTTATCCATACATTACCAAATATTACCAGGAGGAAAGGATGTGGCAAAATCACCCCGATTAAGAATTGTTGGCTTGACAAAATCAGAAGTCACATGGATCTAATCCTATTCTCCTTCCCTTGTAAAGACAAATGAAAATCAGGACCAAAGGACTTCATTTAAATGACAAAGTGAAATTTATTGACAGACAATCTACTTTTCCTGAAGATAGAGGTGACGTAGGTCAGGAATGTCACCAAGGCAATCCAAACCACATATGCAGATTGAAGATTAAGTTGGATAGAATGATTTTGAATGTTAGAATTCCTGGAGTGCCACAGCTCTTCATTTGTCACAGAGGTGGTGCTACAGCAGGATTAGCTGTGACTATTTTAGCTTCATTTGTTTTCTTTTTAGTTGAACCATTGCAAATAGCTCAAGATTAGGCCACACAGATATCACTTGTATTTTGCCTCAGGATTTTCATATTTGTTTAATCTAAGGGCAGATAAATCTACTCAGGAACTTACCTACCTGTATTAATTATAGTTGCTATATTAGTAAATAGTTGATTTAAACATTTTTTTCTAGAATAATATACTTCCCCCTTATTTTCTTCATCGTTTTCCTTAACTCTTAGTGAGAAATTTATCATTCACTTATGTTCCATTAATTTCTATAACTCACCAGGCAGAGATAAGACTGTAGATATTTGTAAGTTACCCAGGGATCAAAAACTTTAGCTCTTCTCTTGAAATTCATCACAGGAAAACATTAAGTTTGGGCAACACTCAACTTTGTAAAACTAAAAAAGTAGAATTAATTTGCTATTCTTTAGTCTTATGGAAACACAATTACTGCTATCATGTATATATTTAGTGAGTAATTTGAAGATATTGTTAAAATATAATCAAAAATGAGATCACAATTTTATTCTTAAAACTTTGTTTTCAAATTATGATAATTTCTATGCATTATTTAAGGTTTATAATATGTGTAATAAAATAAATTAATAGGAATGATGCACGGGGTGGTCATTTTACGTTTTATATTCTTTAATGAGACTACAGCATATGATATTTGTTTATTTCTAATATTTTTTTGTGAGTCCCTTGACAAGGCAGTTTATTACAATTAAATGTCTCTGACTAAACCGATTTGACACGTTTCCTTGCTTTAAGGCTCTAACTCCCTCACTCTTTTTCTGCTGGCTCTCATACTTGTATGTTGCCATTTGTTGTGTCAATTTAAAACCAAACCCTTTGGCTTTTTTTAAAAAAGTGTTTTCCAGAATTTGTTCACAGTGGTAACAATTTAAACATTTCTGTGGTTCTGTAGGTTTACTCTGAACTTTTTGAAATGCCTTTTCATAATTTTCCACCATATTGAAATTTTAAGTCATAAGTATTTTGTGGGCTAATTATAGTTTTATTTCATATCCTTATCCGTTCCATAATATTTAGTCAACCAGTAATATGATGATGATTTCAATATTTTGAGATAATTAAAATGTTTGTATTTTAATGATAATGAGTACTAAGAATAAGCCGATAGTTTAAAGTATTTTTGAAATTTTGTTATAACCATCAGCAAAGTTTTCATTTAGATATTCAGGTCTGAACAAGATATCTGAGTATAACCTAGTCTTTTTCTTGACAGGCTATCAAAATTATCAAATAAGTAGATCACAGCAAAGCAATCCTCAGGACCTATGTGAAATTCAGCAAGATGTATCATATTAAATTCATGATAGCCTTGCGAACAAGAGGAAAAAATATGACTGTGAACCAAGGGCAATTAGGTGAAGAAGTCACTGGCTGTACATGAAAACCAAAGGATACTAATGAATGGATATGTATCAAGTTAGAATGTAATTGTCTCAGCTCTGTCCTTGGCTCTAAAGTAGGAGTTGTATGAAAACATTGAGGACGTGTTCATTAAATTAGTGTATGACACAAAGCTGGATCAAGTAGTATACACATTAAATAACAAGATCCATTTTGAAAAGAGTTGCATTGATTAGAACAGTGGAGCAATTTAATAGAATAAAAATCAACATGTCATACATTAGTTCTTAAAAACAATAAAATAGGTAAGGATAAAGTTGTATGGACTAACAAAAGTGACTAGTCAAAATCAATTCATTATAAATTATTATATTTTTTATTAACAGTAGTACATTTTTACAAAAGAAAATTTACCAAATGTTAAAAAGAAACCAATAAAAATGACTCAAACTTTTTCATGCATTTTATTTTCTGGCTTTACATACAAATTTATATTTTCCTCCGTCATCCGTTAACATTTTCATTTTTATGTGTGTAATGCATTTTCTCAGTTGTTTAAAATTTTATGTAAATTATATGATTATTATAGTATAGTATTATATGATTATATATCAAATCATATATGACATATAATCATACATATGGTTATATATCAATCATATATATGATTATATATCAATCATATATATGATTATATATCAATCATATATATCATATATAATCATATATATGATATATCAAATCATATATGATTTCATATATTTGATTACTATATATTATAATTATATTTATAAATATAATTATAATATAATGAATATTAAATA
This sequence comes from Homo sapiens, assembly GCF_000001405.40. Taxonomy (NCBI): domain Eukaryota; kingdom Metazoa; phylum Chordata; class Mammalia; order Primates; family Hominidae; genus Homo; species Homo sapiens. Next base: position 92,121,622 of record NC_000005.10, read on the forward strand.
ATCATATATTTCATTATATATTGTAACAATTATATGATATATGTCATATATGATATTATAGTATATATAATCATATAATTATTATAATATAAATTATATATACATATAGTTCCCCTGAGGAATTAAATTATAATATAATTTTTATAATATTTTATATATATGTCTGTGTGTGTATATAGATATATATATATAGTTCTCCAGAGGAATACTGTGTGTGATACTGAACAATACTAAACTCTGAATGTTTATGTATGCTTACAGGAGAATTTCATCAGTAGAATTATTGAATATTAGCTTCCATAATAAGGGATAATAATTGTTTTTTTAACAACAGAGAAGTACCATTAGAAAAGATATAATGTTCTCTGAATTTCTATAAGTACATTAGAATAGTCAGTAAGATGTGGTTTGCTGAACTAATGGTAATTTTTAATATTTTTATGGTACTTGAGTATTGTTTAATTGATAAAATATTTTATTCTTAATATTACTTTTATAATATAACTTATGAAGCATCAGGTTCTCAATTTTAACTTCTGTATTCTGGGAAAATTACATCATCTGTCAACATTTTTTTCATGTATGTTACATTTTTCTGGTTGTTGGTATTTCTGTGAACAACACACATGGAATAAAATTTTGATGGAGTAAAATTCTTAGTTCCCAATCTTTATGAAAATCATTTCAAAATTCATTGTAGACATTAAGAAGTCAATTCTTAATTGACTTCTGGAATTTGATACTGCAAGAGACAAATCTAATACCGGACAGATTTTATTCACATGCTTGAAACTTAGGACTACTATTGTTTCCTGAATGTGCGATAGATTCTCCTTTATTTTTGTACTTCAAGCTAGATTACCAGTAGGATTCATAGAATGAAGTATTCTTCATTAATTTTGGCTATCATTCAGAAATTCCATTAAATATATATAGTTGCAGTTCAGGAATATTATCTTCTATAATATTTAAATTCTTTTCAGAAGGGGAATAATTTTTAAATTGTATTTCTATTATTGATCCTCCAGATCTGACCTATTTCTTGGTTATTGTTTAGTCATTATTGCTTTTCCTTTGCATTCTGAGAAGATGGATAGTTTTCATATGCAGTACTGATTTAATTCTTTGCAGAGTCATTTGTAAATCTTGGTTGTGTTTTAAAATTTTTATTTTTTAAAATTCTTTTATATTTTATCTCTCTCTTTTAAAAATAATATCCTATTGCATTTTCTTCTTAATCTTATATCTCCTAATGGATTTTTGCTTCCATTTCAAAGTGGTCATGCTTTCCTCATCCTACTGACAATGCAAAATAATTTTCTAAATTTTCTTTCAGTTCCTATAAGTCTTCAAAAATTTATCTTTCATGGAGTCTTCTTTTTTCCTTTTTCTGAAAGTTGTGTTTTTCTTAATGTGGGCTGCATAACCACTTTTTCATCTGTATTCACCCTCAAATAAGCACAGGGTAATATAATAATTTTTTCTTGGGCCTTTTCTCTGTCAGTTTGATTAGAAGTTTCGTGTTCAATTCCAGCTTCTAACAGGCTTTCATCAGGTAATGTTTTGCTAGGCAATTTCTCCCTGCCAATGGGAAACACTGGTAATAAAATGGCTACAATCCCAAGTCTGACTACTGTGCACAGTGCTTATCTATCTTTACCTGAGTGGGTAACACTTCTTATGATACCACCAGTACAAGTATCCATATTGGATCTAATAATATTCATGTGTCCCAATCTTCAAACTTATATAGAAATAGAGATACCTCTACTAAAGGGACATTGTAGAATTTAGACTATGAGTAACAGTCAGCAGTTTTTTTTTCAAAAAAACATTGCGAGAATATGATAGAGACATTGTATTCTGGTTGAGAATTATTTTGTACTTCTAAACCAAAGGATGTTGAGGCAGGGAGAAAGGATATTTCTATTTCTGTTCAGTTGGTCCAAACATATATGAATTATATTTTGTTCATAATTAATGGAAATCTTTGTGAACATCTGAAATTCTGGTAGATTGGACATCAGCTCTGTTTTTAGTTCTTGTTTCCAGTCATGTGTTTCACAAAGTTTGCTGGGTCATAATAGATATTTTGGAAGATGTGTGAGACTTCATCAGAGGGTGGACAAATGACACATCAAATAAAAGGTTTACTTGAAGTCTTCAAAACAGTATTCAGCAAGAAATGTGATAATGGTATAAATAACAACCCAAGCAACAAATATAAATTTGTGGGTGTTAATATAATTTTTATATTTCACATAAAGAGAGTGATATAATTTTGTTTTACTTTGCACTGGTATGATCTGTCAATACATGAAGATTTGTGTCCAATGCTCAGCACACTCATTAGAAGGATAAACTAGAATGAAATCAGAAAAATGAAGATAATATAATGAAATACTTTGATAATAAAAATAGGTGTCATATTGAGTATAAACTTGTAATGCATACTCTATCAAGTTTATCCATTCCTCCCTACAGTCCTATAAAGAAGGTATTATTATCTCCATTTAAAGAGAAGAAAAGTAAGGTCTCTAAGGCGTAAATGCTATTATTTTCCCATTTCACTCATTGGTAACTTGCTCAATGATGCTTAGCGAGACAGACAGCAGAAGAACCAGTGTTTGAGTCCAGAGAGGGATTTCAGAAATCCTAGTGTAACAATCACACTTTCATTAGTGGAGGATTGAGGAATGTATATAATTAAAGGAATAATTTCTAATAAAATTGTTCAAAGAGATAAAGAGTTAATATGAATGAAATAAATGCATCATCACAACTAATTTCTGGATAAATATGCTCTGGATAGCCACTGAGAAAGGATGGTACAAAAGGGATTTAAGCTTTGATGGTAGATTGGATAATTTTGGCTTGAAACTTCCTTCTAGTCCTGAGATGCTGAGATTTTTATGACTTTATATTAGTTTAATAAAATATTATCCACATTTTTCTCATTGCTTCACTTACTTTTCTAAGCTATCACTTCTCTTTTTTCATGTGCCTCAGGCACTCCTTGCAATGCCAGGGGCAAATGAACTGTACATATTGTGCTAGGGTGCAAAGGGACCTCTTTTGACACTTTTTTCTTGAGGTTCCATCATTTTTAGCAACATCAGTGTGAAGAATGGAGAATTTTAACTTGCCTTTAAGCTTTACCGAATAGTCTATAAAGGAAGGGTTAGAGCCAGTTTTAAAATGTAAAGCTGTGGAGCTCCACAGAAGAATGATGCATTTACTTTTGTCTTAGCCCATACTAGTGCACTCTGTTTTTCCACAAACCTACAAAAAGTCATCTTAAGCAGTATGGTACTCAAATCTGAGAGAGAGAAGAGAAATCCCATTTTGGAATCATGAGAACTGTTTGATTCAATTAACCTCTGAATATGGGAGAACTTGATTATAGTTTCAGATTCTTGAATTACATCATGTATTTGTTACTGAATATTTTATTCTTCCCATAAATATCCTTTAAAGGCTTAGAAGTTGAATAAAGGAATCAATTTATTAAGAGAGTCCTGAAATCTTTGAACATGTAAAGCATTTTAAAAATATGTGAGCTGGATCAAATGTAAACACATTTGGAAAATATTTTGAAAAATTTGCCTTCTTGTGCTCATTAATTTAAAAATATTAATAAATGGCAGATGATATTTTTATACCATAAATAAAGCAAAATACATTAATTTATTCAATAGATATTTGTTAACTTTATATTAAAAGGGGAGGGAAAGAGAAATAAGGACAAGGATTTGTTAGGGTTGAATTAAGCAAGAGGTTCAGATTGTTCAAATCAACTTAGAAGAATTTGATATCTTACTTAGGAATCAAGGGTTCAAGTACCCAAGAGGTACAGGATAAGTAAGGAGAAGTCTGGGACATTTCACATGGCTCTTCTTAACGCTTTCTTTCCACATTGGACAAGCACTCTTTGGTCCAGAATGACAGATGAGGTCTGCGAGTGAGGTTTGTGGGTCTCCTCACATAGTGGTCCATAATACTTCTGTTATGAAATATCTGTTTTAGATCCAGATCATTATATATCTTATTTAACATTCTTCAATAAGCCACAAGTTCATCAGAGTTCATTTGAGAAAGCTAAGACATGGGTCCGGCCTATATGTGTATAGTGTTTTTAAAGTCTCAGTTTAAACTTAAAGCATAGAGTATACTCATCCATTTTAATTCTTAGCTTTAAAAATTTTCTTACTTAAAGGTTTTTTTCTTAAAATGAGGTATACATTTTCCTTCTTTCTTTAGTCATACTATCAAACTCTTTATATGTTTTTTTTTTTTCACTTACTTTTTCCTGGGGCTGTCAGTATGTTTATATTCTTGTATTTTAATAGGCAGCTGTTACTCTTAAAAAAAGATAAAAGTACCTGATCATGTAAATATTAAATATAGTTTTTAAAGTGTTTTTGTAAAGTCATGACAAAGCAGATTAATAAATGTGTTCTAAATGTTATGAGATTTTTAACTTTCCAGGCAGACACAGGTATACCTCGAAATGGTTCCTCACCATCAGTCCTCAATTGTTAATCCAGCCAAAGAAGAGTTCCACACAGGTATGAGATTTCACCAAATTAAGGTAAGTTGTGTAGCATTAAACATATTTTCTCTCTATACTAGTTGCCCATATGTATAATTTATCCAAAGGACTCCAACTATTTATTTTTCTACTCGTAAAAGAATCTTATCTTTCATTGGCATAAATATGTAGGGTACATGGAGAATTCTTACTGAGAGAAGTTTGCCTTCAGCTAGACTACAGGCAAGTGGAGATGATCAGATAATATTTTAGAAAGAAAGCAAAACAAAATAAACAAAAAACCATAGTTTTTTTTTAGTAGATCTTTAACTCATAGAGTATAAGTTACCTAGAGAAAAACAAGAGCCATGTGTATTAATTTTTAGAATTTTGTGTGACTCTTTAAATTCATTGGGGCATCTAGGAAAAGTGGAAGGTTCTAATCTGGCCTAAATTTTAGGTTAATTATATTTTCTCACAAATTTAATTACACAGTTTTAATTAGAGAAATACCAGTATCTAGTTGGCAGGTGGTTCACTGGAACTAGTTAGTAATTAAATACATATAATGCCCCCCAAAGCCAAGCAGACCAAAACAAATGAAAAAATTTAAAAATTGTTTAGGAAAATTGAACTTTATAATATGGTAACAATTGGTTTTGTCCTGTAAGATTTAGAAAACTTGCATTTGTGTCCACAAATGTATTAATGTTTACAATATATAATTTTAAAAATTATTACAAATGTCATTTTATTGATTTTAAATGTCTTTCATATTATGAAAATAGCTTCATTTAATGCTTACAATAAAGAATATTTACAGTACACTTCTTTGTTTTCTAAAAAACCCAATATGCAGCTTTACTCTGTTTAGAAATTTTATAGCATTGTAGCTAATATTATGTTGTGTTTTTAAAATAGTTCATTGAACACTTGCACTAAAAAACAATTTAGTTTGTAACATACCTCATGCCACTTGAAGACCACAATTGTACATTTATTTTCTCCCTTATTCTCATATGTCCTAAAGCCTGCTTTCTAAGTAGATGTACTCCAAAATTTGTTGATGTCTCCCTGCATAGTTGTAGCGTCATCTTCATTTCTCTCAGTAGAGCAGATGAAGAGAGGAAATACAATTCAGGAAATGAACCATTGATAGGAGATTTGTTGTGATGAGGATCACTTCACGTTGTGCTGTATCAATTGTATAAGGTACAAATGATACCGAAAATATAAAGGAGATAATTCAACAAATTTGTACCATTCCTGTCAACAAATAATTGCCTGTAGTCCTGAAACTGTGTGACTCTGTTATCCTTTCATAATAATTTTCCTAATAGAAAAAAATAACAAAGTAAATAAATGCAGCTATTTATTAGTCTATAAGGAAGTCTAACCATTCTTAACATATATAAACATATTTTTGTAAGATTAAAAATATATATGTGGAAAAATGTTTGCAATCTTAGAATGGGAAAATTTCCAAGTCAAGATATGAGACAAAGACTTAAAATAGAAAATTAAAAGATCTTAATGATAAAGACAAAAGAAAACAAAAACTCTAAACAAACAAAAAAGTATTTAAAATATAAATGAATCTATATAAACCAAAATATCTGTTATTATACATGTAAAAATCCTAGTGATCATATTCCTTGGTTCCTGTCTATGTGGAAGTGAGGATTTTAAATTTTATTTATATACTGTGTACTGTAGCAAAATAATATAAAAACAAACATAGTTATTTACAAAAGTAGAAAGTAAGATTATTAAGCACTTATCTTAAAAACCAAGTAAAACAAACGTGGTGACTTTTTTTTAATTGTCTTCATAATTCAGATTTCCAAGTTATTTTACTCTCTTTATCTGAGTTTATACTGTAAAAAGACCTGAAAAAATAAAACTATCTCTTTAAATTGTGAGATTGGTATGCAAACATCTAGCCATTCTTTTTGAAGTCTTCTCAAAATTCCAATAGCTTACAGTTTTAGAATGACAGACAAAAATATCCCCTTCACAGGAAGTTGAGTGACTTCACTGAATTCTATTAACATTTATAAAATATCTCAGTAAACCTATATGCTAATGAATATATGAGAGAGACAGGTGTTTTGTTTGCATTGCTCTAAAAGAATATCAACTATTAAAGTTCTGTGACTTCTGCTGAAAACTAAGATTTGAAAATAAGATCATGTCAGCTTAATGAACACAATGGCCCAGGAGAATGACTTCTACAATTAAGATTTGAAAATTCCTTTCTTAAATGAAATTGGCATCACATACACCAATTGGACAAAAATAATTTCAAATGTTGATATGGCTCTATATTTAAATCTATTGACTTTAAAATGTACAGCATGAGTCAGAACAACTGGTGCTTTTTCCTTGCACATTGAAGCCAGAAGTCTCTACAGATAGGAAAATAATTCTGTCCTGGGTCGTGTCCCATTTTTTTCCCCTCCAGAAGTACTTAAAGTACTTCTTAAAAACTCTTTTGGCTAACTTGTGAAAAAAGTTGACAGGTTTTATCTTCCAGTGATTTTTATGAAACAACTTTTTGAGAACAAAATCATGTCTTTAATGAATATGTATTTGTATTGAATATTTTTACGTTTTGCTCTTATGTTGCCAGAGCCAGAGGTTGGAATTATAAGCGTTCCAGAGAGAATTTCTTTGAAATATATAAGAAAGGAAAGGATAATGGAAGAAAATGTTTTTATCAGCCAACTGCCCTCTTGGCCAACATATATTAAAAATACTTTTGTTAACTATTTTGATATCATGAATATCTAGATAAAATATGCAGGTCAAGAAATACTTATTTCATGGTAACAGTTACATACAACAACAAATATGTTCAATTACTATTAGTATTTAACATAGATATTTATGCTGAATTTCTGAATCAGTGATCAATGAAGGGTTCTTTTCTGTTGTAAAATTTTACGTTTTGAAGTAAAATGTAAATACTTTGAAATGCACTGTTTTTAAATAGGCAGTTCGGTGAATTTTAACTAATGTAACAAATCCTTGTAGCCAGCGCTTCAATCAAGATATATTACCTGTGCATCTCACCAGTTAATTCCTGTTCCCTTATGTTAGGCAACCACTGTTCTGATTTCTATGGTCACAGGCTAGTTTCACTTGTTCTTGAACGTCACATATAAAATCATACACATGTAACATCATACATATTGAATGTAGGAGAAGCATTGATGTTATTGCATGAATTAGTAGTGTATCTTTTTATTGATAAATAGTACTTCTTAATATAAATATACTATAATTCACTTATCCATTCTTCTGGTGACAGGCATTGAGTGATTTACAGTTTTTAACAGTTATTAATAAAGTTGCTGTAAAATGTGCATACAAATATTTTGGCATAGATATATTTTTATTACATAAATTTGCAAGAGTAGAATTGTCAGATCCTCGGGTCAGTGTAGGCTTAGCTGCTAAGTGGTTTTCCAAAGTGATTGAACCATCTTAAAATTCCACCATCAGAGTAAGAACATTCTACTAGCTCTACCTCCTTGCCAACATTTGAAATTTTTAGTTTGTAAAATTTTAGACATTTTAATATGTATGTAATGATATCTTAATGTAATTTAAATTTTCTTCATTACCAATAATATTGAGTATTTTTCATGTATTAATTGACCATTCATATATCTATCTTTGTGAAATTAATATATTATTTTGGGCTACTTTTTATTTGGCTGCTTATCATTTAACTCCTGAGTTATAGAATTTCTGTCTCTATTTTAAATATGAGTCCTTTGTGAGTTTAGATCTGAGAATAGTTTCACTTACTGTATGTCATCTTTTATTTTCTTAATGGTGTCTATTGACAAGCAGACATTTTAACTTTGATGTTGTCTAATTTATTAATTTCTATGGCTAATGCTATCTATATACCCTCTCAAAGAGATCTCTGCTTTCCCCTAGTTTGTAAAGATATTCTCCTTAAATTTCTTTTCCTATGCTGTAACTTATGCATTTATATCTATGATTCATGTCTAGTTAAATTTTACAAATGGCGTGAAATGGAAATTGTGACTTATTAATGTTTTGTGGGTGGTATGAGTTTTTGAGTTTTGAGTTTCATGAATTTTGACAAACGTATTTATCAAATATATTTGTGAGATGAGGGTTGTGGGTTATTTTTTTTTTCCCAACGGATATCAAGTTGTTCCACCCTTTGTTGAAAATACTTCGTTCCTCCATTAAAATGCTTTGATGTCTTTATTAAAAAGGAATTCATAGTATAAATATGGGTCTTTTCTGTACTGTCTATTCTCTTCCCCTTATCTGTTTGTCCATCTTTATGCCAATATTTTACTCTCTTCATTACTGTAGCTATACAATAAATCTTGAAATTAGGTAGTATAACTATGGGTGCAGAAAACCACCATGGCACATGTATACCAATGTATACCCACAAACCTGCATGTTCTGCACATGTAATCCAGAACTTAAAGCATAATAAAAAATTAAATTAAATTAGAAAAAAATTATTTTTTGGCCTTTATATAATTATATTCATTTTAGAAACAATCTATGTCTTTTTCTTTCTCTCAATATATAAACATATGGGCCAGGTGCAGTGGGTCACACCTGTAATCCCAACACTGGGAGGCTGAAGCGGGAGGATCGCTTGGGGTCAGGAATTTGAGACCAGCCTGGACAACATAGAAAGTACTCATCTCTACAAAAAGGCAAAAATTAAGTGGGCATGGTGGTGTGCCCCTCTAGTTCCAGCTACTTAAGCCCAAGAGGTCAAGGCTGCAGTGAGCCAAATCATGCCACTGCACCCCAGCCTGGACAATGGAACAAGACACACTGTTTCAAAAAATAAGCAAATAACTAAAAATATGAATACATGTATATATGCACACATGTATACAGATCTGTATCTGTATATGTATATATGTATATATGTATACATGTGTATCTATGTCTATACATATATGTACATATATACACACATGCACATGCAGATATACATATATGTATATCCTATTGAAATTGAGTTGGATCTATAGATCAATTTGGGAAGAATTGGCATATGTATGTGGTATATATCTTCATTTATTTATTGTTGATCTTCTCTCAGCAGTTTGCTATTGTTTGTATGATTTTTGACACATGAATGGAATTGCTTTTTTATTTTTATTTTCATTTTTATTTGTTTGCTGCAAGTAAATAGAAATACAACTGACGTTTGTTTAGGAGTCTTATACACTGTAACTTTCCTAAACCCACCATTAGTTCTTGTATTTGCTTTGTAGATTCCTTGGGTTTCTTTTTTTCCTAGAATATTATTTCCTCTATAAATTGAAGCAATTTTATTTCTTCTATTCCAAAATGTATTTGTTTTCCTTGACCTATGTCACTGGTAAAACCTCTAATAAAATATTGATAAAAATGGAGATGTTGAGAGTACACATCTATTCATTGTTTTGGCTCTTAGGGAGAACAAGTATAGTATTTCATTATTAAGTACAAAGTTAGCCGTAAATTTTTTGGTTTATGCCCATTGCAAATTGAGGAAGATTTCTTGTATTCTATTTTATTATCAAGAGTGGGTACTACATGTTATCAAGTGCTTTCTCTGTATCTATTAAGATGGCTAATTTCTTCCTTTATTCTGTTAATATGGTGAATTACACGACTCAATTTCAAATATTAAAATATCCTTACATTTTTTTTTATTTTTATTGAGGTATGATTGCAAATCAAGTTCTATATATGAAAGCTAGACACTTTGATGTTTTGGTACACATATACATTGTGAAATCATTCCTGCAATCATGCTAATTACCTTACACAATTAGCTCTGTGTGTGTGTCAGTGTGTAGGGATGTGGGTGGGTGGGATCAGAATATTTAAGATCTACTCTCTCAGCAAATTTCAAATGTACCATACATTATTATTAACTAAATTCCCCATGCTGTACAGAACTTATTTATTTATTTTTTCTATCCTTACAACCATCTTTATTTTTAAAAATTTTTTAAGTTTTAGGTTCAGGGGTACAAATGCAGGTTTGCTACATAGGTAAACTTGTGTCATGATTTGTTGTACAGATTACTTCGTCATATAGGTATTAAGCCTAGTACCTACTGGTTATTTTTCCCAGTCCTCTCCCTCCTCTCAACCTCCGACCTCTGAAAGCCCCAGTGTGTATTTTTCACTTCTATGTGTCCATGTGTTCTCATCATTTAGCTCTCACTTATAAGTGAGAACATGCGGTATCTGGTTTTCTGTTCCTGTGTTAGTGTGCTAAGGGTAATGGCCTCCAGTTCCACCCATATCCCTACAAAGGACGTGATCTCGCTCTCTTTATGGCTATAGTACTCCATGGTGTATATGTACCACATTTTCTTTGTGCAGTCTATCATTGATGCGCATTTATGTTAATTCCATGTCTTTTCTATTGTGAATAGTGCTGCAATGAACATATGTGTGCATGTGTCTTTATAACAGAATGATTTATATTCCTTTGGATATATACCTAATAATGTGGTTGCTGAGTAGAATGCTATTTCTGTCTTTAGGTCTTTGAGGAATTGCCACACTGTCATCCACAATGGCTACACTAATTTACACTCCCACTAACAGTGTATAAGTGTTCCCTTTTCTCCACAACCTTACCAGTATCTGTTGTTTTTTAACTTTTTAGTAATAGCCATTCTGACTGGTGTTAGATGGTATCTCATTGTGGTTTTGATTTGCATTTCTCTAATGATCAGTGATGTTGAGGTCTTTTTTTTTTTTGTTTACAAATGATTGCTGGATGCATGTATGTCTTCTTTTGCCAAGTGTCTGTTCATGTTCTTTGCCTACTTATTTATGGGATTGTTTTTTTCTTGTAAATTTGCTTAAGTTCCTTATAGATGCTTGATGTTAGACCTTTGTTGGATTCATAGTTTGCAAGATTTTTCTCCCATTCTCTAGGTTGTCTGTCTACTCTGTTGACAGGTTTTTTCACTGTGCAGAAGCTCTTTCATTTAATTAGATCCCATTTGTCAATTTTTGCTTTTGTTGCAATTGCTTTGGGTGTCTTCTTCATGAAATCTTTGTCTGTGTCTATGTCCTAAATGGTATTGCCTATGTTGTCTTCCAGAGTTTTTTATATTATAGTTTTGCGTTGCATATTAACTTTAATCCATCTTATTTTAATTTTTGTATTGGTGTAAGGAAGGGTCTAGTTTCAACCTCCTGCATATGGCTAGCCAGTTATCCCAGCACCATTTATTGAGAAAGGTTTTTGTCAGGTTTGTTGAAGATCAGATAGTGGTAGGTGTGTGGTCTTATTTCTGGGTTCTCTGTTCTGTTTTATTGGTCCATATATCTGTTTTTGTACCAGTACCAGGCTGTTTTGGTTACTGTAGCCCTGTACTAGAGGTTGAAGTTAAATAGGGTGATGCCACTAGCTTTGTTATTTTTGTTTAGGATTGCTTTGGCTCTTGGGGCTCTATTTTGGTTCCATTTGAATTTTAAAATAGCTTTCTCTAGTTCTGTGAAGAATGTCAATGTTAGTTTAATAGGAATAGCATTCAATTTGTTAATTGCTTTGGGCAGTATGGCCATTTTAATGATATTGATTCTTCCTATCCATGAACATGGATGTTTTTTCATTTGTTTGTGTCTCCTGTGATTTCTTTGAACAGTGGTTTGTAGTTCTCCTCGTAGAAATCTTTTACCTCCCTAGTTAGCTGTATTCTTACATATTTTATTCTTTTTGTGTTAGTTGTGAATGGGAGTTTGTTCCTGATTTGGCTCTCAGCTTGGCTGTTGGTGTATAGAAATGCTAGGGATTTTTGCACATTGATTTTGTGTACCAAAACTTTGCTGAAATTGTTCACCAGCTTAAGAAGCTTTTGTACAGAGACTATGGAGTTTTCCAGATATAGGATCATGTCATCTGCAAACACGGATAATTTGACTTCCTCTCTTACTGTTTGGATGGCCTTTATTTACTTCTCTTGCTTGATTGCACTGGCCAGAACTTCCAATACTATGTTGAATAGAAGTGATGACAGAGGGCATCCTTGTCTTGTGCCAGTTTTCAAGAAGAACGTTTCTGGGTTTGGCCCATTCAGTATGCTGTTGATTGTGAGTTTGTTACATATGGCTGTTATTATTTTGAGGCATGTTCCTTCAGTACCAAGTTTATTGAGAGTTTTTAACATGAATGGATGCTGAATTTTATCAAAAGCCTTTTCTGCATCTATTGAGATAATCCTGTGGGTTTTGTCTTTAGTTCTGCTTATGTGACGAATCACATTTATTGATTGGCATATATTGGACCAACCTTGCATCCTGGGGATGAAGCCTACTTGATCATGTTGAATAAGGCTTTTGATATGCTGCTGGATTCAGTTTGCAGGTATTTTGTTGATTTTTGCATCAATGTTCATGAAGGATATTGGCCTGAAGTTTTCTTTATTTGTTGTATCACTGCCAGGTTTTGGTATCAGGCTGTTGCTGGCCTCGTAGAATGAGTTAGAGAGGAGTCCCTCCTCCTCAATTTTTTGGAATTGTTTCAGTAGGAATGCTACCAGTTCATCTTTGTACATCTGGTAGAATTCAGCTGTGAATCTGTCTGGTCTTGAGATATTTTTGGTTGGTAGACTATGTATTACTCCTTTAATTTCAGAACTTATTGGTCTTTTCAGATCTCTAGAACTTATTCACCTTATAACTGAAAGTTCATACCCTTTGACCAACATCTCCTCATATCCCCCAACTCCCAACTTCTTGTAACCACCATTCTACTCTTTCTATGAGTTTGACTTTTTAAAATTCCATATATATGTGAGCACATGCATGTTTCCTTGGACCTATGGGTTTATCTATGCTTTTGCAAATGTCGCGACCTCCTTTTTCAAGGCTGAATGATATTCCCTTTTATGTATGTATGTATATACATGTATATGAGTTCTACTAATTTACCTTTTCACCAGCAATGCGTAAGTGTTCCGTTTTCTTTATATCCTCATCAAAGCTTGTTATCTTTTGACTTTTTGATAATAATTATTCTAATAGGTGTGAGGTAATATTTTTAAAAATATTTTATTTTAGTTTTAATTGACAAATCATAATTGCATATATTTATAGGATATAATGTAATATTTCTCTATATATAATACATTGTGGAATGATTAAATGAGGGTAATACATTTTGATTTGCCTTTCTTTGATAATTTATAATGTTTAGCATATTTTCATATCCTAGTAACCATTTTTATGTTTTCTTTAGAAAAATGTCTGCTCAGGTCCTTTAGTCATTTTTTAATTGAGTTATTTTGCTTTTTTTTTTGCTATTTACTTGTTTGAGTTTCTTAGATATTTTGGATATTAACTCCTTATCAGACATACGGTTTAGAAATATTGTCTCCCATTTCATGGGTTGCCCTTTCATTGTGTTGATTGTTTTCCTTGCTGTGCGGAAACATTTTAGTTTAATATGGTCCCACTTATTTGTTTTTGCTTTTATTGTCTATGCTGTGGGGTCATATCCAAAAAATAATTGCTAAGACCAACTTCATGAAACTTTGCCCAACGTTTTCTTCTAGGAGTTTTGTGGTGTCAGGTCTTATATTTAAATATTTAAACCATTTTTGTGTTGATTTTTGCCTATGATGTAAGGTAAGTATTCAATTTCATTTATTTGCATGTGGATATCCAATTTTCTTAACACCATTTATCAAGACTGTCCTTTGTGTATTATAGACAATTTTGTCAAAAATTAGTTGACTGTATACACAGGGTTTATTTCTTTGCTTTCTATTTTATTCCATCAGTCTGTGTCTGTGTTCATGACAGTATCATACTGTTTTGATTACTATATTAATATAATTTGAAATCAGGAATTCAACAGGATATTCAAAGGATCAGACACCGTGATCAAGTGAGATTTATCCCTAGGATCCTAGAATGGTTTAACATATGCAAGTCAATAAATGTGATATACCACTTTAAGAGAACGAAGAACAAAAATCATGATCATCTCAATAGCTACAAAAAAAAGCACTTAGTAAATTCAACATACTTTCATAATAAAAACTCCTAACAAATTAAGTATAGAAGGAATGTACTTCAATAAAATAAAGGCCAGCTATTGCAAGTCCGCAGCTAACATCATGCTAAATAGTGAAAAGGTGATAACTTTTCCTCTAAGATCGGGAACAAGTCACAAATGCCCACTCTTGCCACTTCTCTTCAGCATAGCACTGGAAGTCATAGCCAGAGCAACCAGGCAAGGAAAAAACCATCCAAATTGGAAAAGAAGTAAAATGATCTCTGTTCCATATGACCTTATCTTATATACAGAAATGCTGAGACTACCAAAAATCTGTTAAAATTAATAAGTGAATTCAGTAATGTTGCAAGATACAAAATCAACACACAAAAATCAGTTGTGTTTCCATATGCTAACAATGAACTATCCAAAAAAATTAAGAAAATATTTTTATTTACAATAGCATGAAAAAGAATAAAATGCTTGGAATAAATGTAACCGAAGTGGAGAAAAATGTGTACACTAAAAACTGTAAAGGACTGACAAATAAAATTGAAGACACAAATGGCAACATATTCTATGTTCATGGGTCAGAAGGATGAATATTGTCAAATGTTTATGCCACTCAATGCAATCTACAGATTCAATGCAATTTCTATCAAAATTCCAACAGCATCTTTCACAGAAATAGAAGAAACAATACTAAAATTTGCATGCAATTGCTAAAGACTCTAAATAGCTAATATAATCTTGAACATAAAACAATGCTAGAAACATCAAAATATTCTTAAAATATTCTTATGATAAGCATCACTTGGTTATAATGTATTATTTTACATTTTGCTAAATTTGAATTGCTTTTATTCACTTAAGATGTTTATGATAATGTTTCTAAAAGATACTAGAATTTTTTTTCTTGTAATATCTTTGTATGGCTTTGGCAACAGGCTTATGCTCACCGTATAACAAGTTCAGAAGAAGTTTTCCCTCCTTTTTGATTAAGTAGATTGTGCAAGATTGGTATTATTCATCTCTTAAATATTTCATAAAATTCAGCAGAGAAATAATTTGAGCATAAAGTTGTTTATTGGTATAAGACTGTTTATATTTCTAGTAGTAATTTCTCTTTTCCATCTTTTGGTTCATTATTTCTAGGGGTTTACCAATTTTACTATCTTAGCACATAGCCAACTTTTTGCTTTATTGATTTTGTATGCTTCTTGCCTTCTTCTATTCCATTAATTTCTACTGTCATATTTACCATTTCCTTTATTCGACTTGCTATCTTCTTAAATTGGAAAATGTTATTATTGATTTTAAGCCTTTCTTCTTTTGTAATATCAACAATTGAAGCTAATAACTTCCATTTTAGCATTTCATTAGCCACGTCACATATATCTGGATATGTTGCATTTAGTTATTAATTTAGTTCAAAATATTTTCTAATTTCTCTTCTGACTTCTTTGACCCATCAGCAATTTAGAAAATGTAAATTAATTTTAAATTATTTCTGTATTTTTAAATATTTTATTATTACTGGTTTTAATGTAATTTTGAAATTTATTGAGACCAATTATATGACCCAACATATGGGCTATTTTTGTGAACATTTCATATATATTTGAAAATAATTTGTCTTCTATGTTGCATTTTATAACACAGGTATAACATTGCTATATAAACATTGCTATACAGCACCTGTATAACATTGCTATATAAATTATTATTACATTTATACAAATATATTATTTTATGTATTCTGGGTACATTGTTCATTTCTCATTATAAAATCAATCCTTTTACCTCTAGTGAAACCCTTTTCTTTAATTTGTTTAATATTAATAAAGTCACCTTAGTTTTCTCCTTCATAAAGGTGGCATAATACGTTTTCAATCCCTTACATTTAGTCTACTTCTCATCTGTATGTTTAATTATATCAGTTATAGACTGCCTTTAATCATATTTTGTTTTCAAATAAATTCTAAAACTATCTGCTTTTAATATGAATGTTTTGTCCGTAGACACCTATCATTAATTATGTGTTTGGATTTAAGTCAGCTATTTTTTTCAGTGTGTTTTAAAACTAATTTAATCTTTCTCTTTTCTTCTGTCCCTCATTCCTGCTTTTATTTAGATAAACCTAGTAAGTTTTAGTGTTTCATTTTAATGACTTTATTTTCTCTTCCTATTTCTATCTTTATTATTTTTTCATGATTGCTGATATTACAATATGTTTCCTTGATGTGTCAGTCTATATTGATTGCGTAGTTTTCTACATTTACACACGTATTTGCCATTCCCAGTGATGTTCATTTAGTTCCAATCATTCTGAATTTCCACCTGCTGTAATTTTCCATAAGCTTCAAGAACCCCCTTTTGAATTTCATATAGTTTAGGTCTTCTGGGAATGAATTCTCTCAACTATTTTTCATCTGAAAATATGTTCATTTCAACTCATTTTGGATGGGTATTTTCACTGGATATAAAATTTTATGGCACATTTTTCTTTATTCAAAAATGTCATTACATTTTATTCTGGCCAAAATTATTTTTATAAGAATTCAGCCATAATTTATATCATACATCATTTACATCATATTGTTTTTATGAATACAATGCATGTTTTTTCTTTTACTATTTTTAAGATTTTTATTTTATCTTTTATTTGCAGCAGTTTTTGCTATGATGTTACTAGGTATGGTTTAATTTGAATTTCTTCTGTTCATGTTTTCTCATCACATTTTGGAAAATGTTGATCCATTATTGCTTGAAAGATACAGAAAGTATCTCCCTTCAGAGCAGAGGGCAGGCATGATTACCAACCATTGTAAAATATTCAGGTTACCTAAGCTTGGGATTTCTTTTCTGAAATACAACCCACTGTGTGTGCTGGTATCCACCTAGGACCGTCTGCCTTACCCTGTGGGACTCGGAGGCATGGGAAATGGATACAAATATGCTTATGCTGATGTTATTTCTTGTGTTTTGAGTAAGGAAGTCATTTATTTGTGATCTACAAGTTTAATGTCTTCTACTAACATCCACTGAACTGACATAGGCTAGTTGCTTACAGTTTGTGTAAAATCCCAGAGCCTTCACAGTTCTTGACACTACCGTACTGGAGAAGCCTCTGGTGCTAAAGTTAGCCTCTCAGTGATCCTCATCAGATGCCAAACCCTCTAGACAAGCCCATCTGCCAGTTGAGTATGACCAGTGACTTTAGTCAACACCACAAGACCAGAAGAATTGCCCAGCTGAGCAGTGCCCATCAAGAAATATTGAAATAGTCATTGGTTTAAGCCAGTATATTTTGAGATACTTGGCGACACAGAAATAAATAACTAAAACAATTTGTTACAAACTCTTTAGTTGAACTTTTATAGTACTCACACAAAAAGTCATATGCCAGTAATAAACAAACGTAATGACAAAACTGTTAGACATTTTTAGGTTCTTTTTCTTAAAACATCCCAATTTTAATAAATTGTTCTTTCTATGAGGATAAAAATTAGCTATGATATCATACTCTTTTAAGGAGATCAATAAATAAGTGAGACTATCCCATAGGATAGGATCGTAAGGAGTGGAAAGAAGATATAACAAGAAATTATTATATTATCACATATGAATATCTAAGACAGAAGATAACTCCATTTTTGTAATTATATATTCTTTTTATTCATCCAACAGATATTAATAAGAATAATAGTTTTCCTTCAAATAGAGAGATACTAGATGAGAAAGAGAGATGTGATTGTTAATTTTCAATGTTAACTTGTCTAGGTTAAGGGATACCCAGATAATCGGTAAAGCATTATTTCTAGGTGTGTCTGTGAGAATGTTTCTGGAAGACACTGGCATTTGAATTAGTGGACTGAGTAAGAACTACGCCCACCAGATGTGAGGAGGCAACATCCAATAGGTTGAGACCTGGATAAATCAAAAAGGCAAAGGAAAGGAGAATTTGCTCTTTTGTCTTCTCCTTCAAGCTGGGACACCTGTCTTCTCCTGCCCTTGTTTCTCAGAACTCCAGGCTCTCTGGCCATTGGATTTTAGAACTTACACCAGTGGCCCCCGAGTTTTCAGACTTTTGACCTCAGATTGAGTGTTACACCATTGACTTCCCAAGGACTTCAGACTTGAAGTGAGCTATGCTATCAGCATCCCAGGATCTCCAGCTTTCAGACAGTCTATTGTGTGACTGCTTAGCCTCCATAATTGTGTGAATCAATTACCCTAACAAATCCCCTCTTTATCTATCTATCTATCTATCTATCTATCTATCTATCTATCTATCTATCTAATCTATCTCCTGTTGGTTCTGTCTCTCTGGAGAACCGTGACTAATACAGAAGCCTTAGGGGAAGTTATATTTTCATTGTCACATCTCTTTAAGAACTAGCCATTGTCACTAAAGCACCAAGCATGAGAGCTTCCTAGGAAGTCAATATAGAATGATATGAATTTGTATAAAATTATTTATGTCTGAATCTAATAACTTTAGAGTAGAAAATTCACATCTTTTATACATTAGTCATAAATTTAATGAAATAATTTATATTTGCATTTCAAAACCATAAAGGTTCTTATGGATATTATTTAAATGAACAGTTTAGCAAACTTTCTAAATGTCTATAATGCCTATTCTAGGCATCATTTGACAATATCAAATAATGAATAATATGTGGAATATATATTCAAGGAATTCATAGTCAACCAAGTCATATAAAATGATATAAAATTTTAGTAATATAAGGCTATCATTAAGTAATTTATTTTTGTGTTTCTTTTCAGAACAAAAAAGGGTTAAGTTGTCTTATAAAGATAAATGTGAAAAACTTGGGGAGAACCAAAAATAAAGATCAGAATAATATAGAGTAATAAAAACATAGGTTATGGAGGCTCAAAAGAAGAAGGTATGTTCTCTCACTTGAAAAACATTTTATTGTGTTAGAGCATGGTTAAAAAGAAATTATATTTATATTCAGAGAAATTTGGAACCAAAAAAGAACATTCTGGACAAGGAACTACAATTGAAATATATTTGCCAAAGTACAGAAACAAGGAAGCAAAAGGCCTAAAAATGAAACATCTGATTGACACAAACAAAGTATGAAAAAAGATCGGTAAGATTTCAGTATCTGGTTTATTATTGTCTTAGTCATTTTCAGTTTGAAGTAACTAAAGTGCACCCCATTATCATAAGCAAAAGAGGGAATTTGTTATCAATTTGCAGGTGTACCTCACAAACCACTGGTTCTGCTCGTCAATGTTTTAATCTCTCATCTCTAGCATAAGAGCATGACCAGTGTGCTTCCATCTCACTGTCAAACTCCATTAGGAGGAAATTTTATAGTTTCAACTTGGGTGAGTGTTCTATGCCTAGGTTCATTTCTATGGGAGAATTTCTCTGAGATGATGGTGGAGCTGGGCTGACACTTCAAAAAACATCTACAAATGTATTTCGTTGATAGTGGGAGTATAAAATATTTGAGGACAGAGCAATCACATGGCCAGGGCTATGCTTGGAGAACATACATCCAACCTCAGTATGATTGGAGGGAGGGACAATCAGAAGTAGAAGCAGTCCTTTGGGAAACTCTCAAAATCATTTAGGAGAAAGCAGATTAATTAGAACAGCAAGAATAGAAAAGCAGAAGAGTGGGAAGATGCCAGGTAGTGTAGGATAAAAATAAGAGAGAACTAAGGACTATGTATGGATTATTTTGTTTAATTTTCACAATAACTTCCATGAGAAATTTTCCAAATGAGATATAGAAACTGAACTATTTGAGTAGAAAATGAAGGAGCCAGGATACAAATCCAGATTTGTCTGATTCCATTACTTCATATTACTTCATCATTTGGAAGTTAAAAGAGACAAAAGTGAAAAATACATATTATACATCAAAGATGTAATTACATTTTAAAATCCTCCATAATTTATACTGATTTGAATTACCCATTATTTATCTTTAGATGTGGAAAGAGAAAGAAGGGAAACTAAAAAAAAATTTTTTGGTGACTTACATAAGCTAAGCATTTCATTGCTGTTTCCATGTACAACAATCCATTTCATAAGCATAACATTCTTTGAAGCAGATAATTTTATGTCCAATGCAGAGTTGAATAAATGGTGGTTAGGTGGCTGAAATGATTATCATCAAGATCTAGTTCCATTTTATTTATACAATGCTCTCCTATTCCTCTTTAAAAAACATCCAATTTTGTTTTGTATTTGACATCAATTCTAAATAATTATTCTGCCTGTTAGCAAATATAAAAGTTGTATCTGGTTGTCTAAAGTCTTTGTGAATACGTATTTACATAGAATAATTTAAAATATTTTAAAAATTCTAATAATCCTTGAAATACTTTTACAAAAAATGTTGTGTAATAAATCCCTCAGTCTGTGTATCAAAAGGTCTTAAGAGGATAATTATTACATGTCACTTAAATTCCTTTGATTATAAGTTAAATCTGTTTTTTCTTCTTTTCCTGTCCAGCAACGTGGCCTGTAAGAAAAATATTATTCTATTTCATAGAAAAATTTAAAGGTAATTGAGCTTGAAGTCAAAATTTATGAGCTACAATGAGTTGTCACATATTCTTCCCAACTTTCATTAATAAACTATATGAAAGACTCCTAGGCTAGGGACTAAAAGTTTAATGTGGCATCTCGCTTTTGCCATTAATGAAACATGTGACATAGAGTACTTTCTCAAGTCTCCCGTCTTCCCTTATATATAAGATGAAGATCTATTTAGCCGCTAAGCTACATTCTAAGCCTCAATGTTACATGACTTAATAATTATATGATTTCAAGTTTCCTTGTAGATTACATTTTATGTGAAAAATTTCTGGATCATGTACTCTACGTAAAACACTATGTAAGGTGATATTGAGGTCTGTGGCAGATGGAATAATAGCCCACAAATGACCCACCATGATTCCCTGAACTTATGATAAGAGGGAATTAAGGTTGCAGATGAAATTAAGATTGCTAATCAATTGACTTTGAGATCGGAAGGGTCAGCTGGATGATCCAGGTGAGCTCAATCTAATCACAAGGGCCTGATAAGTGAAAGAACAGGCAGACCCATGAGAATCAGAGTGATACAATGTCAGAAAATTTCAAATGGCTGTTGCTGTCTTTTGAACAGCAGGTTGGAAGAGGTTGGAAGGGAGCCACAAGGCAAGGAACTAGGCAGCCTCTAGAAGTTGGAAAAGGCAAGGAAGAGGATTCTCCCCTACAGCTTTCAGAAGGAACATAATCCTGACAATCCTTTATTTCAGCCCAGTGGAACCCATTTCTGACTTCTGACCTCAAGAAATATAAGATATTTGTGTTTTTAAGCCACAAAATTTATGGCATTTTGTTATACCACCAGTAAGAAATTAATACATGGCACAAATGTTGAACAAAAAAACACAATATTTGCCTTCAAAGAGTTTACATTTGGCATAGGAAATAAGCTGGGTGTACATGGAGTTTCTGCAAGGTAGAATATGACAAATGTATAAAAGGAAATGATCTAACATTTGCTGAATTCAGCCTATTATCTAGTAAATTCAATGACAAAGGGCACAATAAATGCATTAATTCACCATGGTGCTAGGCTCAAGCATATAGTAAAGATCAAAATTCAACACCACTCTGCTCCCATGGGACTTATAATCTCATGCAGATAAGCAAATATTACTTTTAAAAAAATCACACAAATAAAATATAAGCTTGCAAATATAATAGCTAATAAGAAAGAAAAACACATGTTTTCCTCAGTGCATTTAATGGTAGAATTTGGAATAGACAGGAAGGTCACAGAAAACCTTTCTAAAACTGTCATCATTGAGTTAAGGTCTGAAGGATGAGTAAGGATTTTTTAGTCAGGTCATTGAGTTAAGGTCTGAAGGATGAGTAAGGATTTTTTAGTCAAAGAAGGGAGATAAAAGCATTTCAGGCATATTGGTAGGAGGAGAGATGGTCATCAAAAAGGACTAAAAGAGTGTTTACTGTGACTAGAGATGAGAGAAAGGAGTAAGCTGGCTATGAAAAGAGGCTGAATACATAGAGATTTGGGTCTGATCATTTGGGGCCACTTTAAGAAATTTTGCATTATTGAAAAACCAGTAGAAAAACATTGAATAGTTTTAAATAAAGCAATGAATAATCAGATTTGCATGACAGCAAGAGGACTTTGTCTAAATGGTACAGCTGTGTGGATAAACACATATAGGCCTGTAATAACCATGCCAAAGATAATGGTAGTCTGCACTTCACTGAGTGCATATATATATGGAAAGAATTCAGGAGACTTTTGTGATATTGAATTGACTTGATATGAAGTAAGGAAAAAAGGGTGTTTTAAGACGCAGAGTGATTGGTACAGAATGCTGATAAAATCAATACATCAACAATTAAAAAGAACTAACTCCAATTTAATGCTTACAAGTTGCCAAGTACTTCCTTAGCACCTTATATAGATTAGTTTATTTAATACTTACAGCAACCTTAAAAGATGAATACTAATATTCTCACAATTTTGCATTTAAGAGTACAGAGGAGCAGAAAGGTGAAGCAAGTTCCCAAGGTCACACAGCTAGTACGTGTAGCATCAAGCATTTGCACTCTGAAAGTCCCTCCTTTTTACTACAGCTATGAAAATTATGCTTGATTTAATATCAAGGAGGTCATTAGGGACTCAGGTGAGAGCTGTTTCCGTAGAACAGTGCAGATAGAAACCATAAAATATAGATTGAACAGTGAGTGGCTATTGACTTTCATTTTCTCAGAAAAGTAGGTGGTAGGAAAATTGCTGTGAGAGGGAGACTGCTTGGGTTGTTTTAATAACTGAATTGATAAAAGGAAGTTTCAGTTCTGGCAGAACAGGAAGTATGTATACCTGACCAAAGCTCATTTCTTCTGCATTAGGCCAAATCCAGAGGCAATACGGCTACCTGTTGTGAGGTAGCCACTTATGTCACCAGAATTCCTTATTTCTCACTAAAGAAAACAAGGGCCTTCGAAGTCAACAGGAGTAGGTCAGCTCATCTTACACCAGAAGAAGCACTCTTTTTGTAGTTCCTGAAGCCATTCACAATTTACAGTGTATATATGAGCAAGCCATTCAGACTGGGAGAATTTCATATCTGTATACAGTAGTCTCGTTAAGAAAAGAGACACTTCACTCTGTGCTAGAGAATACATCTATTTAGGCTAGAATTCATTGGCCACCAGTCCCAAAATTTTTGTCTTCATATTAGAGACCAAAAAGTCCACAAATACACATACAGAGTGCTGTGGAAAAGCTGAGGAATTAGAGATCAAATATACATAAATTTTCTAATTGCAGAAAACCAAATAATTGTAACTAAAAAGTGGTTTTGCTTTCCAGTTTCAGTTAACACTTTCTCTTTCTAATATGTGACTTTAATTTTCCAACAGTAATAGTCACTTAGTTATATAGTGTGTAAGGATAAAGATGTCTGCCCTTACAAATTTAAGTGAAAAAAAATTAGCTAATCTTCCTTTTAGAGATTAGTAATCCCAATAGCCAATGGCCAACACTAGATATTACTCAAAATGGACATATATGAATTTCTCTCACATTAATCCCAAGTATTAAGTCTATGACATTTTTAAATAGCTTCAATTTTATTTCATCCCATAACAAATTAGATCTAACATATTTTAAAAATAAGAAAATAATTGTAAACTTTACCTAATGTTTCTCTAACGCTGTATATGAATTCCTTCTGAACGCAAGTGAAATCAAACCACTTTTTCAGACAAGCCTATTAAAGTTTATCATCAACTAGCAGTTGAGCTAAAAGGAATAGGATGCAAATAACTCTGACCATGATTTACAACTTACCCATTAGTTTCTTAACAGGGTAAACTGAACTTCTGTATGCCTAGCTAGCTTGAAGTCACTTGCCTTGGGCTAGCAATTAACCATTTGCCAAGGCCTGAGTGTTTAATACGAATGAAACATGTCATAAGATTGATGAAGACCATAAATAATAGGAATAATTTTAATAAGAAAAAAGCTCACAAACTTTACTTTCCCACACCTGCCTACCCACCTGTACTGCCTTCTGCATCACTGAAGAGAATTTTCTAATTGTGTCTTTGAAATATAATGCATCCCATAAATGGGGTTTTAACAGCAGGAGCTAAGGAGATGAAGAATAAAAGCCTATAAAGCCTTTTACATTCCCTGTTTCATTGTTAAAGGATTGGCTTCACTTTCTTTAAAAATTTATATCAGCTATACAAAAATTAGGGTGAAGGTGTATTGATATTCTAAAATGACATTGGCATCCATAGCACACAATTCTAAATATTTCCATGAGTTGAGTATTGTAAAGATGAGATTATGTTTGCATTTAAACTCTTGCCTGATTTTGCAAGGTAATGTTATAGAATACCAGGGTTTTATACCAAAGTTGCCGGCATCAGATAACAGAAGGAAGTGATTGCTATTATTGTAAAAGGTAGATAAAATTTGTTTTACTTTTGTGCTGTTCATCTAAAGAATTGCACAATATATTGAAAAACCAGATTCTTGAGGAAGTTTAATCGATCTCTTGGTTGTTAGGCTAAAAAACAATTTCTAATCGTGAAGAGAAGTTACTGTAATGTACTTTGGACTCACTATGTACAATTCTCCCTCTACCGCCAGGACTTACTTGCATTCAGGCTTTGCTCTAGAAGAAATAAGAAGACATTTTCTTTTAGCATAATGAACACAGCTGTTTAGTTCTTCACCAGTTAACATTTTCAAGTTTAGTCTAGCCAGGTTTTGAGGGGCTGTTCTCTTGTTTACATGACTGGCTAATCTAGACAAGAGTTTAAGGGTAACTATCCCTAGGAGGTACTGAGAGCCAGCAGCAGGATGGACAGAGGTGAAAATAAGGGAAGAAAATTCATCTACATACCCAGCAGGTATCAGTCATTTATATATTCATCTGTTTTCAGTTCTCAACTTGATAAGAGTGTGTCCATTTCATGGTGCCATGCAGAGAAAATGAAGTGTGTAAGGTCATTCAATAAAGATTAAATTAAAAACATATTCCTATTGCACCCTCAGGGTCCATTAGCCTTGATGAGTGTACAAATACGTTCTTTGTGTTATGTGCTCCATCCTGAAAGAGATTGTGTGCTTCGCTCATTATAAATGTGCACCTGAAAAGACTGAACATTATCCCCTCTTTTTTAACTGACCTGTGGCCACCGCTGGGTTCATTAGTGCAGAACATCTTTTCCACTGGCTGAGTCTGCCCTATTGTTTGCCTTGGCTAGGGTCAAGTCAAGGGCACCCAGCCTAGATTGGACTCATTTGTCACAGGGTCTAGCAACAAAGCTGATTTCAGCAGAGATGGGGTGAATTTCATGGGGCTGAAACACAACCTTTGACACCAAGTGCCCAGGGCTGCTCAGAGTTGCACAGATGGCCTGCCACCCTTAGGCATCCAGGAACAAAGAATTGGTGAATTATAACAAAAATAAAGTTTCCACAGTCAGCGTATATTTTAAGTGTTTAAATTATTTGCAGGGATTTTTGACAGTCTAAAATTGCATCTTGAGCACTTGTGATAATCGCTGTGCTTTTTAGACTATGAAGGAAAAAAACAATTCAGTTGGGGGCTTATTGCTTAACTGGTGTAACGGTGTAAAGTGTAGCAATTTAGTGTGGAGTGCAGGTTTTCCATGGTCAGCAGGAGCTGGCATGAACAATGGGTCGTGCTGAGGTAGCATGTGGAAAATGACTTTAATACACTATATAGAATGGCTTATTGCCTTGGTCAATAGGCTGCAGTGAAGATGGTGTATTCAGCCACTTGGGAAGGTTAAACCTGTCAGGGAACACTGTGACTGATATGCAGGGGCTGCTTATGAGGTCTCTAATGGAAAAACCTGACAAGCAAAGTTATAAAGGTTACACTTGACACATACTTCAGCATTATGCCTTATATTAATCCATTTTTTTAAAGGTAGGGTACTTTATATTTGTTAGAAATTGATGCCACAATAGTATTAACACTCCAGAGGAAACATTTAAACTTTGCAGTAAAGTAAGGAACATTATAGGATGAGATCACTGCCTGGGTAAGGACACTTGTCTAATATGCTAGCATCATATTTCTCTTTCTCACAGTAAATAATCTGCTACATTAGTGCCTTATTATTATCTTTCAGGATTCATAATTTTTAAAAACCTCTTCATGATATTTTCCTTTTGTATTTGAGGGAATATATATTATAATTGCATTATAATATATCCTGAGAGAAGGTTAAGAGAACATTGAATTTATGTTTAGGATGTTTCATCCCCTTCTCATTGGAAAAGAAAAACTACAGAATAAAATCCTACTTTTGCACTGAAATTTGGTGCTGTGGTCTAGTTCAATATAAGTGGGTGACCTGGAGTTTTCCAAATGATTTCCCAAGGATATTATTCCTGTGTTAGTATGGTAATTGGATATTATAAGTGTTCTTGATCAATTAAATATATATTGGTAAAAGTGAATATAATTAGGCACGTAATTTTAATTTTATAAAGAATGGAAAGTAAGTGACAGTTCAAATACTTATGAAAGTGTGGGTACTATCTGCAACTACTCTATGTTTTGTGGGCATTTTTGGGCAATAAATCAGGCATTTGATTATCCCTAATTCCATACAAAAAGCAAACAGATTGATAAAGAGTAGACCATTTTATTGTGAAGCCACGAAATATACTAACATACTTTATTATTAAAATTATTAAAAAATCCAAGAATTATAATATATGATAGAATATATAAAAGAGTGTTAACATTAGATAGAATATTTTACATTGTTTCCTCTTTTTTCTCTTAATTCAATGAGAATCTTAGAAATTGTTTTTGCTTATAAGTTTTAGAAGAGTCATTTGTTTGTAAAAAGTGTTGGATTGACAATTCTGGATAGTGAGGTCCTTTATATTATTATATTTCCTTATATAAAATAGCCCCAAAAATGATTTATATGTTTTAGTAAAAGAAGGTATTTTTATCTGAGACAAACCTATGATTGAGTATTAGACGTCTAGCCTTTTTTTGACACCTAGACATAGGATGATAAGAAGAACTTATAGTAAAAATGTAACTCCATAAAATGGCAATTTCAAATATTGAAAGCAATAAAAAAATAAATATTGACTAAAGGTTGAAGGTAAATCGTTCCTGACTATCCCATTCTCGTGAACATTTAGTTGTTAAAATCATACGAAAAGACATAAATAGTAGCCAGTAAAACACTATGTCTTGACTGAGTTTAAAAATATTTTATGTGCTTGTAGAATTGTACTACAAATAAATTTTAGTTGTAACAGTATTAATGTTCTTGTGAATGTATGTACATACACATGTATGTACATAAATATACATGTTGTATATTTATTATGGTGTGAATGTATGTGTATAAATATACACTTTCCTAGTTAGATATAGTTAAGTTTGAAGTCTGGTGCTTCAAATAGTGCAGAACTGTATTTACCTTACACTGCAGATTGGTTAGATTATAATCCGATTTTCAAAAGATGTTTAGAGAAAAAGAATTCTGAATTTTTTTCTCTTTGTTATGAAGACATATACACATTCTTTTTATATTTTTTCCTTGTGAAGATGTAGGTATACTTTTGTTCTGAAATGTTATCCCGGTCAAAGTTAGATAAAGAAAAATGTAAATGGGATATTTTTATTTTATATGTTTTTTATAATTAATTATATTAGCAGTGCATGAAAGTTACTAAAACTAAAAATTTTGAGACTCTATGTGCCAAAGTTATATACAGTTTTATAAATAACTATGCATGTATTTTATAAATTCTCTGTATTTTAAAAAATATTTCTACTTGCATATTTAAAGTTATTCTTGTGTTCTTGATATGGATATTATATGCATATACATATGCTTATAAATATTAATTTATTTCTTTATATTTCTCTTCTCACTCAAAATGTAAATATATATACTAAAAAATTTCAAAGATTTCTGTACCGAGAATTAGGAAGAGCTTCTATTAAACGAGAAAATAAGGAATCCGCTCCATAAAAAATAAGGTCAAAGTATGTAAGAATAATGATTATTATTGCATAAAACAAGGCAAACTAGGCACAAAACTGTATTTCAGTAGCATTGCAACTCTAACCAGAAAACACTCTCCATGAGTAGCTGACTTCAAAGTACTTCCTACCATGTTCTTTAACAAAAGCTAGAACTAGATTTCACTGCATTATATGTCAGGCAAAATATTCTCCCAAAAGTGAATTGAATTAAGTCAGTAAACATTGCGTACCCTGTATATGCCAGATTCTATGCTAGACATTTAAAAATATTCAAATATGTAAGATGTAAGATGAGTTTCTCACCCTTTAGTCATTCCAGTTGAACATCCTATTGTATAATAAAGAATTTTTATTCACACTTTCTTTACACAACTAACCTACCCTGAGAAAAAAAAATATTAAAATCTTCCAAAGTGACAGCCACTTTGAAAATTCTCAAACAACTGTGGAAGTCAATCAAACCACTGAATGGTAATTGTTAAGTGAAATTATGTGAGTAAAATTGTTAAATTGAGGTAATTGATATTTAATACTATAGTTCAAACCGTATGTGAGACAGAAAAACCTTTCATGTCTCATATTAATATTAGATAGTTTTACTGTTTTCATTTTTATTGAATTGATCACTTGTTTGCATGCATAGGCTTAGTATCTTGTATGATTATTTTTCCCAAACAAAAATTGAGTATTAGAATAACATAGCAAGCATAGGTAGAATATGTTATCATGGCCTATGGTCACTTTATACCATCCAGTCTTCCAACTAAATGGAGACTCCAGGCTTTGTGGTTAACAATAAGAAGTAATTGGTTCTGCCAGTTCACTTCTCAGTGAACAAAATGGGTAAGAGGAAAAGACCATCAATTGCTATTAACCAGCAGTTTCAACAGAGGCCTCAAACTGAGTGGATAAAGAAATCAAATTAATTTTTCAGTCCTCAGAGTCATCATTAAAGTTTTTGAGGCTCACAGAAAGCGAAGTCTGTGCATCTTATGTTGCCTTTGCCTTTCTTACAGATTATCATAAAATTTTATTCCCAGAAGTTATCCTGAACACTAAATTTTTTTAAGAATGATTTTTGGTAAGTCAGGATTATGTGATTAAGGTTTCACAAAGTCTCAACTGGAATTAATTTCTAGAAGACACTATCCCATATCCCCTGATTCAGCATTTCATTCTTGATGGTTTCACAATAATGTTAGCCTACAGGCAATTTTACCAGCCAATTTTCACTCTATTTTTAGATTATTATTATGATAATATGTGTGATACATCTGAGAAAGGGAAGCAAAATAGTGCTCTTGAAAAATACAATATTAATATTTATAAAGGTGAGTTTTATGAAATCTAAATTTAGCTAATTTTCCTGCAGAGTATGAAAGAGCACCCCTTAGGCACAATTTGTTCATGTTTGCTCATTCATCTAACATCTTAAACATCATTTCATAAATGAGACTGCATTTTCATAAATAATTCCTAATAGAAGTATAAAAACAAAAGTGAGTATTGTATTCTTGAAAAGAAATTGTATTGGTGTCCGATTGCTCAAAAACAAATATTGTGGAGGTTTTTTCTTAAACTGAGTATGAAGAGTAATAAATTTTGCATAAAGTTACTAAGATACACATCTCATGCAGAGGAAAAGAGCAAGTATATCATTTTTCTTTATAAGCCACTTGAAATAAGTAAGACTGGTAAGTACATGAACTCTGAATAGCTAAGACCTTTTTTCTCAGCAAATGTGTGACACTTTTGAAGTCAGCAGATGTGCTATCTGTAGAAATATAGAACATAAGTATCAATCATCCAAAGTTAAATAAAAATGTTCATTTGCAATTGAAAGGCTTTTATTAAGTATATGCACACTAGACTGGAGGTACTATTTTGTTTATGTGAAGCCAGTGTTTTCTAATAAAGATTTTGAGACTTGAGATGGGTTGGGAACAATGTATGGGAAAAGAGATTACAGTCACTATATTTAAATTAATCCATAATATTTTGAAGTCAAATAAAAATCCATTTTTATATCTTGCTTATAATTGAGTCAGGTCACAACCTCTTTGGAATTACATAATATATGTTATTTATGCCACAAAACCTTTTTGATCTTTGGTTGACTTGATGTTTTGACCTTGCCTCAGAACACAAAGCATTTGTGTTAACTGATGGAGAGGTCACTGAGCTTACAGCATAGTTTTGGTGTTTTATTTTAACAGTTCAATAATAAGGTGAAGGGGAACACTCCTGAGAGTGACCATAATAGCTTTATTGCTTTTCTGTTATTAAAACCTCTTAAGATAATTGTTTTCAAAATTATAATATGATCTTTTTAGAATTTCTAGACTGAAGATCAATTTGTGCTGGTCATGATTCCATTTCTGCTGTTTCACATTGTGTTAATTTTCATTAAGTTCATTATATTTGAAATCTCTCAGAAGGTTTATTTAAAATGCATTGCCTGACTAGATACATACTGCATATTTTTACACCTAAAGATAACAAGATCTAACTTATGGTTCTATTCCTCAGAATAACTATATTAAATGTTTTAATGATGCTCACAGTTTGATGTTATTTTTGTGTATTTAAATATATTGTATTTTACATGTAAATATATATTTAAATATATATTACTGGTAATTTCATAATAATACATTAAATCAGGCATTTAATATTAAAGCTTAATTTGTGTATTGAATAGGCTTAGATAAACTTCAGAAGAAAACATCAATATGCTTTTCTAGAACATATCATGTCTACAGAAAACATCTAAATGTTTGATTTCTAAAATAGTAGTCTGTAAACTAGATTAGTGTTCCCTAAAGCCATTCAGGGTCTAAATAAATTTAAAAATTATTTTTTTTTCTAAATATTGCCCTGTAAGTGACAATTATTTATGATCATTTTGCTTACAGGTGTTTGTCCAGTCGGGTCTAGTCAGGGTTTATAAACATTGAGATTCATGATGATAGCCTTTGGAAAGCTACTTCATCTAGGCCCTGTTTTCTCCCTCAGTTTTGAGCTTTTTCTTTTACATTCTCAAATGTAAAAGTAGTTACGGTTGTTCAGCATTCTCAAATGTAAAAGCAAAAGCTCAAAACTGAGGGAGAAAACAGCTTATTAAGGAACTTGGAACATAAAATTTATTCATATTTAATTAGCCAGTTTTTCATTATTAGTCATTATATCTTAAAGAATTTTGTTTATGTAAATCATAGTAAACAATTTTCCATTGCATGATTTATTTAAAGAGAGTTTTCTTATAGACAAGTTCTCTACTCAACAAATTTGCCTTAAATATTTTCTAACAATTTACCAAAATAAAGAAAACAAATGAATTAATTTTATTATTTTTATTTTTTATTATGAAATTAATTGATGTATAGGTCACTTAAAAATACACTTAAGTGTACTGTTTGATGAAGTTTGACAAATGTATATATCAATGTGCAACCACCACCACAATCAAGATATGTAACTTTTTATCACCTCAAAGTGTATCCTTGTTACTCTACCAATCTCCCCAACTCATGGAGTTAGGCAACCACTGATCTGATTTCTGTTCTGTAGAGTAGTTATGGTTGTTCAATAATTTCATATAAACAAAATCATGCAGTTTGTTTTTATTTTGGCCTGAGCTTTTTATGCTCCAAATGATGTTTTTGAGAGATATCCAAATTGTTCCATTTATCAATGGCATTTTTCCTTTTATTTCTGATTAATGTTGGATTATTGTTATACCAAAATTCATCCATTATCCTGTTGATGAAAATTTAATTTGTTTTTACTGTGCAGCTATTATGAATAATGCTGCTATTATTCATAATAATGTGAAGAATAATTCATAATGCTGTACTCATGCATGAAGCTTTACATAGATATGTGTTTTTAAAAATGTTGGGTAGGGGCCGAGGAGTGAAATTGCTGGTCTTTTTTAGTTTCTCTCAGCAATGTTTTGTAATTTTCAATGTGAAGATCCTGGGATAAAACCCTTTTGGAAATTTCATATATATATATATATGTGTGTGTGTGTGTGTGTGTGTGTGTGTGTATGTGTATATATATATTTGTAATATTTTTCTAGGTTCAATTTGCAAACATTTTTCTGTGGACTTTGGAATCTATATTTATAAAGTCTGTAGTTGCCTTTCCTTGTAAGGTAATTGCCTGATTTTTGCATCAAGGACGTCCTTTTCTGATTTTTTTTCAAGGTAATAATGCTGTTCTCCATAATTGACTTGAAATATCTTTTTTCTGCTCTATTTTCTGAAAGAGTTTGTGTACACTTGGAATAATTACTTACTTTCACATTTGATAGAATATTTGATGACCAGTGAAATCATATGGTCCTGAGTTTCATTTGTGAGAAAGTTTTTAAATTACGAATTCAATTTCTTTAATAGCAGCAACAGTATTTATACTTTCTATTTATTCTCATGCCAATTTTAGTAATTTTTTCTCTCCAGGAATTTGTCCCTTCCATTCACATTGTTGAATTTATTAGTATTAATTATCCGTAATATTTCTCCTATATCATTGTAACAGTTACAGATTCTATAGGATGGCACTTTTTTCAGCCCTATGTTTGTAATTTGTGTCTTCTCTTTTCTTGCTCAGTTTAAAGACTAAACAATTACTGTTCTTTTCAAATAACTAACTTTCAGTTTTATTGATTTTTTTTCTATTTGTCCCACTGTCTAGTCCATTGCTTTCTGTTCTGATCACCATTATTTGTGTCTTTCTACCTACTTTGTGATTAATTTTTTATCTAGCCCCATGATTTTTAAGGTGGAAGCTTACATTATTAATCTTATACATTTATTTATTTTTAATGCAATCATTGGAAGCTAAAATTTTCCTTTAATCATTATTTTAGCTTCATCCTACAAATTTTTATATGTTGTGCTTTCATAATCACTTTTAAAAATATTTTCTAATATTGATTGTGATTTCTCCATCATGAGTATTTTGATATATACTGCTTAATTTCCAAACTGAGGGACTTTTGATGTTGTTACTTTGTTTATTTCTCACATAATTTGATAGTGATCAGAGAAGATCTTTATAATAATTTCAATCTGTTCAAATTCACTGAATTATTTTGTGACTCAGCACATGTTCTATGTTGATGAATATTTTAAGTACAGTAACACATAATGTACATTCTGCTGTTATTGAGTGTAGTGCTTTATAAATTCTTTGTTTTACAAATTTTTAAAATTCCACTTCTCTATATCCTTATTGAAATTTTTTGATTCACTTTTAGTATCAATTACTGAGTAAAAAAGATATAATTTCTATTATTATCATAAAATTATCTATTTCTTTAGTTCTATACACACTGATGATATATATTACAAACATATTTCAATTTCTCTTTTTACCTATGTAAGTATTTAGTTTTGCTATGTGATCTTAATTAATTGATTCCTTATTATGATATTTTCTTCTTTAAACCCAGAATTATTTCTTATGCTAAAGTCAATTTTGTACGTTAATATAGCTACTCTTTCTTGATATTTGTATCTGCGTGGTGTGTGTTTTTCAAAAGTTTCACTTTAACCATTTTTTTGTATTTGTGACTGTAGTCTGTTCCTTAAAGACAGCATACAGTTGAGCATTCCCTTTTATCCAATCTAAGAATCCCTAACGTTTAATTAATTCGATGATTTATATTTACAGTAGTTACTAATATGCTTGGGCTCAAATCTACCATTTTTTCTAGTTGTTTTCCATTCATCTCCTATCTTTTTTCTTTTTATGTTTTTCCTTCTCGCTTTCTTCTTTCAGATTTTTTAAAAAATTCTTCACTTTATATCCTATGTTCACTTATTAGAGCTATGTCTAATATAATTCAGTGATTGCTGTAGGGTTTTAATATGTGCCATATTATTTTCCATCTTTTCATATTGTATCTTTTCATAGTCTTTATTCAAATAGTTTCATTGTATTAGTCCATTCTCCCGCTGCTATGAAAAAATACCTGAGACAGGATAATTTATAAAGATATAAAGATAAAGAGTTTAATTGACTTACAGTTCTGCAGGGCTGGGGAGGCCTCAGGAAACTTACAATCATGGCAGAAGGGGAAGCAAACATGTCCTTCTTCACATGGTAGCAGCAAGGAGCCATCCAGAGTGAAGAGTAGCAAACACCCCTTGTAAAATCATCAGATCTCATGTGAACTTACTTGCTATCATGAGAAGAGCATGGAGGTAGCTGCCTCCATGATTCAATTACCTACCATCATGTCTCTCCCAGGACACATGGGGATTATAGGAACTACAGTTCAAGGTGAGATTTGGGTGAGGACACAGCCAAACCATATCAATTATCCAACTTTATATTTAAAATAGGAATCTTTCAAAAGTATATATGCATTGTGTACCTGTGTATTTTTTTTCTGGCTTCTTTTAAGATGTTAACTTTGTTAAAGGTTTTCAACAATTCAAATCAATCCAGAAATTGATGTTTCTGGACATGTTTTGTTTGTTTGTTTTCTATCATGCTGGGTTCATTTGAGTATCTTGGATCTGTGGATTTATCATTTTTATAAGCTTTGAAATACTTTAAATTCTTTAAGTATTTTCCCTACTCTTCTCATTTTCTCTTTTGGGGATTCAATTACAGATATATAGACTGACTGGTATTACCTCACTGGTCACTGAACTCTCTTTATGTCTTATTTAGCGTTTTTCTCTCCCTCTCTCTCTCTCTGGGCTTTATTTTAGGTAGTTTTTAACACAATGTGTTTATCTTCACTGATCTTCTCTTCTGTAGTGTTTAGTCTTCTGTTTTTCCCCTCCAGTGAATTTTAATATATTACAGATTTTTAGTTTTATAGGTTTCATTGTGTTTTGTTGTTGTTGTTGTTGAGTCATCTATTTCTCTCCTTATTTAGTAACTTTTTTTTTTTTTTTACTTTTAATCTTAAAGAATACTTACAGTAGCTGTTTTATAAACTCTTTGCAAATTTTATAACCTCTGAGATTTTGGGGCCTGTTTCTATTGACTAATATTTTTGCTTGGTTTTATGTTTACATTCTATTTTGCAGGCAGTTAAATTACTATGTATCTTCTTTATACTTTTAAGCATTGGTCTTAGTCATTGTAAGGTTGATCTAGAATCACATTTACGTTAGGGCTAATTTAGTTCTACTATTGAAGCTTGGCCTTGCAGGGATCTCTAGTGAAATCTCTGGTCTTCATCAAGCTTGCTCCACTCATTGTGTCAGATCATGTATGTTTCCCAGCTCTGAGTTATTCCTGAGAATTATTCTGCAGACATGTCTCCAGAAGGTGTTCTGTGCCCAGAGTCATGGAGTTTCACCTTACAAATGTATTCCTTATTATTCAGCCAGAATCAAAAGCAGATCAGTAGACTTAATGGGTCTTTTTTCTTGCATAGCTCACTTGTCTGCGCTGGTCTGACTAACAAAATCAGGCCCCCTCAGCTTTCTCAATCTCCGATGTCTAGATTATCAACTATTTGAACATAGTGTTCTACTTTTCTTTCTTCTCTGGGCACAGCAGTCCAAAACATGCCACCAGAGAAAAAGTTGATGAAACTATATATAACATCTTTTTTGTTTCCTTCTCTTGGAGCTCATAGTCCATCACTGTCTATTGTATAAAGTCATAAAGCAGTGGTATTATATATTTTGTCCAGTTTCTAGTTATTTATAGAAAGAGGGAAAGTCCAGTACCATTAGCATTGCCATAGCTGGAAGCAGAAGTCCCAAGTTCATATCTTTTATTTTTAAAATAAGTATTTATTTTCCCTGATTATAAAATGGATACTCATTGTACGTAATTTTGATTTCATACAGATCTTCAGAAGAAACATACTATTCTATAATTCCGTCATTTAATTCACTATCTTTTTTTTTTCTTAGAGCTGATGTTCCAAGACATCAAATATTAGAGCTAATATTTTCCCTCATGCTTCAAAGTACCTGTTAAAAAAAAATGACTTGCCGGGCACAGTGGCTCATGCCTGTAATCCCAGAAATTTAGGAGGCTGAGGCAGGCAGACAGCTTGAACCCAAAAGTTTGAGACCAGCCTGGGTAACATGGAGAAACACTATCTCTACAAAACAATATATACATATGTATATACATATGCGTGTGTGTGTGCATATATATATATACACACATGCACACACATATAAACACACATGTATTTATATTATATATATATGTACGTGTATGTATATATGTGTGTATATATACTATATATATAATATATAGTGTATATATAATATATATTATTTATATATATATTACAT
Source organism: Homo sapiens (assembly GCF_000001405.40). Lineage (NCBI taxonomy): Eukaryota > Metazoa > Chordata > Mammalia > Primates > Hominidae > Homo > Homo sapiens. The sequence continues at coordinate 92,158,568 of NC_000005.10, forward strand.
ATAATTATACACACACACACACACACACACACACACACACACATAAACACACACAAACCCAGCTGGGCATGGTGGCACTTGCCTGTAGTCCCAGCTGCTCAGGAGGCTGAGGTGGGAGGATCAATTGAGCCCAGGAAGTTGGGGCTGCAGTGTGCTGTGATCATGCCTTTGCACTCCAGCCTTGATGAAAAAGTGAGACTCTGTCTCAATTAATGAATTAAAACATGACTTGTGTTTTCACATTTCCCAGGTATGGTAACCTTGAAGTTATTTGTTATTTCTTTTCTTTACCTTGTTGCTGATTTTTTACCTTTCCTAGAATCTCTCAGAAAGGCTATATGAAAGCATACCTCATTTTATTTCACTTCTCTTTATTGCACTTCACAGATTTCTTGCACACACAAATTTGTGTTTTTTACAAATTGAAGATTGTGACAACCCTGCATGAAATAAGTCTGTTGGTGCTGTTTTTCCAACAGCATGTGTTTACTTCATCTCTCTGTGTTACGTTTTGGTAATTCTCAAAATTATTTCAAACATTATTACTATTATATCTGTTATGGTGATCTGTGTTCAGTGATCTTTGGTGTGGCTATTATAATTCTTACGGGTACCACAAACAGCACCCATATAAGATGATGAGCTTAATCAATAAATAAATGTATGTGTTCAGACTGCTCCACTGACCAGCCGTTTCCCCACCACTCTCCATCTCCTCAGATCTCCCTATTCCCTGAGACACGACAATATTGAAATTAAGCCAATTAATGACCCTACAATGGCTTCTGAGAGGTCAAGTAAAATGAAGAGTCACATGCCTCTCACTTTCAGTCAAAAGCTAAAAATGATTAATCTTAGTGAAGAAAGTATGTTGAAAACTGAGACAGGCTGAAAGCTAGACCTCTTGCACCAAACAGCCAGGTTGCGAATGCAAAGGAAAAGTTTTTGAAGGAAATTGAAAATGATACTCCAGTGAACACACAAATGATGAGAAAATAAAATAGTTTTAAAGCTGCTATGGAGAAAGTTTAACTGATCTGAATAGAAGATCAAAACAGCCACAACATTTCCTTAAGCCAAAGCCTAATCCAGAGCAAGAGCCTATATCCTTTCAATTTATGAAGGCTGAGAGAAGTGAGGAAGCTGTAGAAGAAAAGACGAAAACTAGAAGAAAAGTTTAAAGAGAAATTGTAAACATTCAGTCCATTGCAGAGGATATGGTTCATGAGTGATGTGGTTTGGATGTGTGTTCCTGCCCAAATCTCATGTTGAATTGGAGGAGGGGCCATGAGGTAGGTGATTGGATCATGGGGGCAGAATTTCCCCTTGCTATTTGTATTAGTCCATTTTCACACTGCTATAAAGATAGTACCTGAGACTGGGTAATTTATAAACAAAAGAGGTTTAATTGACTCACAGGTCTGCATGGCTGGGGAGGCCTCAGGAAACTTACAATAATGATGGAAGGTGAAAGAAAAGCAGGCACCTTCTACACAAGGCAACAGGAGAGATAGAAAGTTTGAGGAAAACTGCAAATTTTAAACCATCAGATCTTGTGAGAGCTCCCTCACTATCATGCGAACACCATAGGGCAAACTGTCCCCGTGATCCAGTCACCTCCCAACAGGTCCCTTCCTTGACATGTGGGGATTAGAATTCGAGATGAGATTTGGGTGGAGACACAGAGCCAAACCATATCAGAGTTCTCATAATAGTGAGTGAGTTCTCAAGAGATCCAGTTGAAAATATATGGCACTTTCCTCTTTGCTCTCTCTCTCTCTTTCCTGCTGCCATGTGAGGCAGGTCCTTGCTTCCCCTTCACTTTCTGCCATGATAGTAAGTTTCATGAGGCCTCCCAGTTATTCATCCCACTAAGCCTGCAGAACTGTGAGTCAATTAAACCTCCTTTCTTCACATTACCCAGTCTCAGGTAGTTTTTTGTAGCAGTGTAAGAATGGACAAATAGAAGGAGGTTTAAGAAAAGAAGCCATCTCCACAATCTGAAAGTGCAAGGTGAAGCAGCAAGTCCTGCTGGAGAAGCTGCAGCAAATTATCCAGAAGATCTAGCTAAGATCATTGATGAAGGTGGCTACACTAAAAAATAGATTTTCAGTGTAGATGAAGCAGCCTTCTATTGGAAGAAGATGACATCTAGGACTTTTATAGTGAGAGAGGAGAAGTCAATGCCTGGCTTGAAAGCTAAAAAAGACTGCTTTGTTAGGAGTTAATGCAGCTCATGATTTTAAGTTGAAGCTAATGTTCATTTACCATTCTGAAAAGCTTAGGACCCTTAAGAATTATGATTAATCTCTACTTGTGCTCCATGGATAGAACACAGACTGGCTGACAGCACATCTGTTTATAGCATAATTTACTGAATATTTTAAGCCCACTGTTGAAAATTACTGCTCAGAAAAAAAAGATTATGTTCAAAATATTACTGCTTATTAAGTTTGCAACCAGTGACCCAAGAGCTCTGATAGACATGTACAAGGAGGTTGGTGTTGTTTTCATGCCTGATAACACATTTATTCTGAAGCCCATTGATTAAGAGGAATTTGACTTTCAAGTCTTGTTATATAAGAAATAGATTTCATAAGACTATAGCTGCCATAGATATGGATTCCTCTGGTAGACCTGGAAAAAGTAAATTGAAAACCTTCTGGAAATAGTTTATCATTCTAGGTGCCATTAAGTAGGTTTGTGATTTGTGGGACGAGGTCAAAATATCAGCATTAACAGGAGTTTGGGAGAAACTGATCCAACCCTCATGTATGACTTTGAAGGGTTCAACCTTTCAGTGGAGGAAGTACTGCAGATGTGGTAGGAAGAGCAAAAATACTAGAACTAGAGGTGGAGCCTGCAAATGTGACTGAACTGCTGCAATCTCACGGTAAAAATTAAATCGATGAGGAGTTACTTCTTATGGATGAACAACGAAAATAGTTTCTGGAGATGGAACCTACTCATGATGAAGATGCTATGAATATTGCTGAAATGACAAAGATTTAGAATTTTACATAAACTTAGTTGATAAAGCAATGGCAGGTTTTGAGCAGATTGAATCCAATTTTGAAAGAAGTTCTACTGTGAGTAAAATGCTGTCAAACAGCATTGCATGCTATAGAGAAATGTTTCATAAAAGGAAGAGTCAGTTGATGCAGCAAACTTCACTGTTTGTTTTATTTTAAGAAATTGCCCCAGTCACCCCAACCTTCAGCAATCTCCACCCTGATCAGTGAGTAGCCATCAACATTGAGGCAAGGCCCTCTACCAGTGAAAAGATTCTGACCCTCTGAAGGTCCAAATAATTGTTAGCATTTTTTAGCATTTAAACATTTTTAAATTAAGGTATGTACATTTTTTGATGTAATGCTATTGCACCCTTAATAGACTATAATGTAGTGTAAATGCAATTTATATATGCACTGGGAAACAAAAAAAAACTTTGTTAATTGTTTTATTGATATATTTATTGCAGTTGTCTGGACCCAAACTCGTGGTATCTCCAAAGTATGCCTGTATGTGTGTATGTGTGTATCAAAGATATTTCTTTACTGATACCATTTTAGATTACATTAAATTGCACTAACTACGTATCTTGTGTGCAAGAGTAGACTATAAGCTTAATGTGGACAGAAACCATAGTTTATTCTCTTGTATGTCCTAAGGTTGGCTGTTGTTTTGTTTCCTCCTAATAAGTCACAAGTTTAAGTGGTTCCTTCACTTCCAGAGTGTGAAAACCTGGACAAGTTAGCTAGTATCTCTAAATCCTTGTCTTCTGTTCTATAGATAATAATCCCCTTGTTTTTCCTACAAAGATCATCTAGCCCATCACTAAAGCAGTTCTTGATGATAGTTTTCTAGTTCAGCTCATGTATCTAACTAAATTCTGTTAATACAAATTTTACCAATTACAAGTTATATTTGTGATACAAGGAATTCATAAAAGGAAAACCTCTAAATTGTTTTTGTGATATATATATAAAGTCAAAGTAATATACATTTTATTTTCTGAATCTTCTTAACTGTCATTTCAAAGAAAACCATAAGTATTCGGGCAAAATGTTGGTCACATCCTATCATAAAAGATATTTCCCTTGTATTAAAACTTCAGAAATCAACTCTTATCTTAAGCATTAGAATAAAAATAAATATTTAGAATAATTAAAGATGTTAAAAATGCATTATACGTGTGAGAAATGCATGTACCTGAACTCTGGTTCATTTTTTCTTATTCATCTCAAATAATTAGAAGCTGATTCAATTAAGAAGAATATACTTTTGGAATTTTGTGCATTAAGATGTCATTTTCTTTTTTCATGGCTTACATATGCACCTGTTATGGCTTTACAGATAAAATAATTGAATATTGTCTGTGTTTTTTACTTACTAACAAACTGTTGAATTGAATAATCTGATTTTTAAATTAATTCTAGAGGTTACTCTAATGTGTTCTTAATTATGATTATGAAAATCTGCAGTAGTTAGGGGTTCTCCAGAGAAGCAGAATTACAGAATCAGGAGCAGGAGAAGGAGAGAGAGAGAAAGTTATTTTAAATAATTTGTTCACACAATTGCAGAAGTTTGATAAATTCAAAATCTGCAAGATAGACCAGCATGCTGGAGATTCAAAGAGTTGAGATTCCAGTTCAAAAGCAATCTGCTTAGAAAATTCTTTCTTATTCTGGGGAGGTCATTCTTTATTCTACTGAGGACTTTAACTGATTGGATGAAAACCACACACATGATGGAAGATATTCTGCTTTACTCAAAATCCACAGATTTAAATGTTAATCTTATCCGAAAAATACCTTCACAAAAACATGCAGAATAATATTTGACCAAGTATCTGGGCACCATGGCCCAGCCAAGTTGGCACATAACATTAACCATCACAAGTCCACCTCTGTCAGCTTGTTAGGTTGCATCTTTTTAATGAAGCTTTTTTCCACATTCTACCTTTCTGTCATTAAGCTGCATTAGGATGATGGGAAACATGGTAAGACCAGTGAATACCATGAGTATAGGCTCATTGTCATACTTCATTTGCTGTGAAGGGAGTTTTCAATCAGAAGCAATGCTGTGTGGAGTACCATAATGGTGAGTAAGTCCTTCTGTAAGTCCACAGATGGCGCGTTTGGCAGAAATATAGTATGCAGGGCAGGCTAACCCACATCTGGCCTAAGTGTCTATTCTAGTAAAACAAAACACTGCCCTTTTTATTATAGAAGCAACCAAACTGCCACCCCAGGGAATTGTGTCATATTGAGGATTCAGTGTTGTTCTCTACTGCTGGCATATTGAGCACTTAGCAGTGGCTATATCTAGATTGACTTGGTGAGTGGGAATCTATGTTGCTGAGCCCAGGCATAATTGCCATTCCTACCACCATGGCAACTTTATGAGCCCATTGGGCAATAACAGGGGTAGTTAGAAGAAAAAAAAAGCTGACTGGTATCCATGAAATGGGTCATGTTATCCACTTGATTATTAAAATCCTCCTCTGCTGAGGTCATACTTTGGTGAGCATTCACGTAGAACACAAGTATTGCTATAATTTTTGTCCATTCAGAGTTGTCTGTCTACATACCTCTTGCTCAGACTTCCTTGTCATTTTTTTTTAAATTTTACTTTCACTTCTGGGATACATGTGCAGAACATGTAGAGTCATCAATTTTTCAATCATGTTCCTTCCAAGTACCTGACCATTCAGTCAAACCATTGGCTATAGCTCGTTAATCAGTATATAATTAGTATATATCTGATTACTTCTCCTTGCAAGCCAAATGGACAACCAAGTGTTCCTGAAGTTCTGCTGACTGGGAAGACTTACTTTCACCACCATCCTTCAGGAATGTCTTAGACAGGGGCTATAGTACTGCAGCTGCCACTTTTGAGTGGTGCCTGCATAAGAAACATCTGTAAGAAACATCTGTAAACCAAGCCCAAGTCTTCTCATCCACAATGAACTGATTATAGGGATCTCCACATGAGACCATAGGTGCAGGCTGAGAGATAGAAGTCAGTGTAACAGGAATGAGGACCATGAACATTTGAGCCACTTCTTCATGTAACTTACTTATGTTTTCAGGGCTTGCTTGGACCTAATCATGTACATAACACTTCCATTTGATGATGGAGTGCTGCCGTGTATGCCCAATTTTATTGCTTGGTGGGCTAAATAATTCCCAGTTCATGATGAAAAGCTCAGGTCACTTGGCTGTCCATGGTTAAACATTCAATCTCCACTAGGCCCAGTACTGGTCCAAAAGCTATTTCTCAAAAGGAAAGTAGTTATATACAGAGAATGAAAGAGTTTTGCTCCAAAATTCTAAAAGGCTCAATGGCTCACCTATAGGGATATAATATAGATCCCAAACAGCATCCCTATCTGCTACTTTAAGCACCATTGGATCTGCTGAGTCATATGGACCAATGGGCAGTACAGCTTTCACAGAAGCCTAGACCTGTTGCAGAGCCTTCTCTTGTTCTGGGCCCCACTCAAAACTGCAGCTTTTTAGGCCATTTCATAAATGGGCTGGAGTAGCACGCCCACATGATGAATTTGTTGTCTCCATAGTCCAACAAGGCTCATAATGAGAGAATATCCAATCTGATATCCAAATGTATCACACTATCCAGAGAATTTTAATGTATGAAGGGATTAACTTCCTAAGTGGCAAATTCTGCTAAACTTAGACTGATTCTAGCAAGCAGAAATCAGCATGCTACAGATTTGTAGAACTACTTGAATATGTCAATAATATCCTAACCCTAAGGTATAAAGAAAATTTCCAAATACTTGTGGGTAGGATCAGTAGAATAACCTATAATGGAATGTTCATTTGTAATCTAATAATATTTATCTTTGTGAATAGTTCAATTTTAGAGTGACTAATATTTTAATTTTCCTTTTTTTTAATTATACTTTAACTTCTAGGGTACATGTGCACAATGTGCAGATTTGTTACATATGTATACATGTGCCATGTTGGTGCGCTGCACCCGTTAACTAGTCATTTACATTAGGCATATCTCCTAATGCTATCCATTCCCCCTCCCCCCACCCCATGACAGTCTCTGGTGTGTGACATATTTCTCCCTGTGTCCAAGTGTTTTCATTATTCAATTTCCACCTATAAGTGAGAACATGCGATGTTTGGTTTTCTGTCCTTGCAATAGTTTGCTCAGAATGATGGTTTCTAGCTTCATCCATGTCCCTACAAAGGACATGAACTCATCCTTTTTTATGGCTGCATAGCATTCCATGGTGTATATGTGCCACATTTTCTTATTCCAGTCTATCATTGTTGGGCATTTGGGTTGGTTCCAAGTCTTTGCTATTGTGAATAGTGCAGCAATAAACATACATGTGCATGTGTCTTTATAGCAGCATGATTTATAATCCTTTGAGTATATGCCCCGTAATGGGATGGCTGGGTCAAATGGTATTTCTAGTTCTAGATCCATGAGGAATCGCCACACTGTCTTCCACAATGGTTGAACTAGTTTACAGTCCCACCAACAGTGTAAAAGCATTCCTACTTCTCCACATCCTCTCCAGCACCTGTTGTTTCCTGACTTTTTTTTTATTATACTTTAAGTTTTAGGGTACATGTGCACAATGTGCAGGTTAGTTACATATGTATACATGTGCCATGCTGGTGTGCTGCACCCATTAACTCGTCATTTAGCATTAGGTATATCTCCTCATGCTATCCCTCCCCCCTCCCCCCACCCCACCACAGTCCCCAGAGTGTGATGTTCCCCTTCCTGTGTCCATGTTTTCTCATTGTTCAATTCCCATCTATGAGTGAGAACATGCGGTGTTTGGTTTTTTGTCCTTGCGATAGTTTACTGAGAGTGATGATTTCCAATTGCATCCATGTCCCTACAAAGGACATGAACTCATCATTTTTTATGCCTGCATAGTATTCCATGGTGTATATCTGCCACATTTTCTTAATCCAGTCTATCATTGATGGACATTTGGGTTGATTCCAAGTCTTTGCTATTGTGGATAGTGCCACAATAAACATACGTGTGCATGTGTCTTTATAGCAGCATGCTTTATAGTCCTTTGGGTATATACCCAGTAATGGGATGGCTGGGTCACATGGTATTTCTAGTTCTAGATCCCTGAGGAATCGCCACACTGACTTCTACAATGGTTGAACTAGTTTACAGTCCCACCAACAGTGTAAAAGTGTTCCTATTTCTCCACATCCTCTCCAGCACCTGTTGTTTCCTGACTTTTTAATGATTGCCATTCTAACTGGTGTGAGATGGTATCTCATTGTGATTTTGATTTGCATTTCTCTGATGGTCAGTGATGATGAGCATTTTTTCATGTGTCTTTTGGCTGCATAAATGTCTTCTTTCCAGAATCTACAGAGAACTTAAACAAATTTACAAGAAAAAATCAAACAACCCCATCAAAAAGTGGGCAAAGGATATGAACAGATACTTCTCAATTTTCCTTTAAAAGCATGAAGTAAGCAAAGTCATTAACATCAAAAGTTTTTATTTGCTCTGGTTTGGAAACCATTACAAAGTTGGTTAGAACCAAATTATTCCATATATATATATGAAAGGCAAAAAAATGAATAGTACTTTAGTACTTTTAATTTTTATGAATTTAAAACTCTATTGACAGGGCCTGAGGGCCAGAGCTGTGTTCATCTTTCATTGGCTCTGTAAGATTAGTGAATATATTTCTTGAATTAAAATCTAGATGCATAGTTATATAGTAAGATAGCACGGCAGAATATTTTAAACGGTGACTATTCTAGAAAGTCTACAGCTTATTTTCTATAAGATTATGAAAAAAGTTAATTTTTGAAGTTCCTATGGATTTATTTCAATTATCCATCATTTATAATAATTCCTTCCTAAATTGATGAGACTGGATTGAGACAACCACAAACAGAGGAGGATATTAAGAGGAACAGGAGACTATTTAGAAAGTTATCTTACTTTCAACATTTACTAGATACGCCCAAATGTATTCTGAGACACATAGTCTTTTGTCATGCATTCTTTTATAATGAAAATGTAGAAAAGACAGAAATAAGCCAAGATTCCGTTAAAGAGACATAAAAACAGAAGAAAGAATAATTAAAAAAAAAAAAAGATAAAAACAGAAATAATTGAATTCTTATCCAGTCTTGGGTACTTCTTTTCAGTAATGCAAAAATGGCCTAACACAGAAATGTAGTCTAAAATTTGAGAATAATGATTCTCAAACTAGAATGCCTGTTTTAATGCTACCTCTGCCACTTATAAGGTGTATGATACTGCATAAGTTGTTTTAACATTTGTACCTCAGTTTCCTATTAATTAAAATAAGTGTAATGATAGTATTAACCTCATAATATGTTAGAATAAAATAAATTAATACTTTAAAGCTAAATAATGCCTAAATTTTTCTGCAAGTGTTAAGAAGATAGAACAAATAAAATATGTAGGAAAAGTATTATACAATAACCTAATCAATGGAGCTCTGAAGTAAATAAGAAAAACAATAAATGTTCTGAAAAAAACAAGGGTTGACAGCCTGAAATATTAGTGGGGTAGAATGACAGTAAGTTCAAGCTGAAACTAAAGATGGTCTATAGGTATTTGCCAGTTATAGTAAATAAGAGGCTTGCTTTTAATAGCCAAAGGGCTTAAGAGTAAACATTTAGAGTTCCAGTGAGATTAATAGAAACAATTAAAGAGCTGTATCTTAGTAAATGCATGGACAGGGAAAAAAGTTACACTACTAGCAAAAGAAGAAAAAAAAGTAAACATTTTGTTTCAGCCTGAATTCCTGAGAATGGGTTAGGAGGATAATTTTTCTATCCAGGAATTCTTAATTATGGGTTTAAAGATGCAATTTTTACTAATAGCTTTTTTTTTCAAACCTCAGTCTGTAAAATTAATTTAAAATGAACATATTGGATATTCTTGAGAATCTGAAAGGACTCATTCTAAACCTGTGTGTCTCAGTGTTCTTAAAGATAAAGCTGTATCAAAGGGCTTTGTATTTGAGTTTAGATTTGAGTTCCAAATCCAAATGTCAAATTAAAAATTCACCATGGGAAGAGGCAAAAGCTTCAGTTAATGTAATTATTGGAACAAAATTTATAATAAAAATTGTTGAAGTATTTTAAAAGTTTAAAGACACCACACATCTGAGAAAATAAGATAATAGGACTAAAATACAATATATTTGAAAAATCTTTATCTAGATATGGAAATAAAGAAACTCATCATTAAAATAATAATAAAAAAGACAAATGAACAGCTAGACATAGCAAAAGAGAGAAGGAGCTAGAAGTTAGAGTTGAAGAAATTACACTGAATGTAATTTAATAAATATAGAATGGAAACTATTAGAAAGTGGTTAACATATATGAAATGTGGCACATGTCTATTTAGTGTGCCATGAGAAGAAAACGGAATGACTGAACATTTTCCAGAATTATTGAAAGGCATAATTTTTCAGGTTCAGAAAGTTTTGAAAATCTGAAGCAAGAAAAATGAAAAGAAACAAACATTTATTTACATAATAGTAAAACTCTATAACATAAAAAGACTAACAAAGTGAAATAAAAAATTTCTTAAAACAAAAAAATTAGAAACTGATAACTCACTTAGCCACAGTAAAAATATAAAAGTATATAAATGGCTTCAAAAATCTGAGAAGCAATGACTGGCAACCCAGTATTTTATATCCAACAAAACTACCTTTTACCAATAAAGGTGAAATAAAGAAATCTTTAAAACAAACCAAAAACTTTATGATAAGCCAGCCCTAATTAAAGAATTTCTAATGACATACTTCAGAAAGAAGAATATGATATCTTAAAAAGAGCCTATAACACAAGAAGAAAAATGAGCAATTAAATTAGTAAACACAAGGGGAATGTTATATGTCTTAACTTTATAATAAACATAAGCGTTTTAGAGATCATCTTAGTCTGTTCTTGCTGCTATAAACATTCCCTGAACTGGCCAGTTTATAAACAACAGAAATTTATTTCTTACAGTTCCACAGGCTGGGGATTCCAAGATTAAGACTCTGATAGATTTGATGTCTCATAAGGACTAATTTCTGGTTCATAGAGCCTTCTAATTGTGTCCTCACAGGGTGGAAATGACTAGCTAGATCCCTAGGATCTCCTTTGTAGAGGTACTTATTCTAGTCACATAGGCTTCACCCACATCATTGAATCACCTTTCAAAGGTGGATAAGAAGGAAACAGAGATATTTGTACATTGCAGAGAATATAATGATTTGGCATAAATCAATGCAGAAGTATAATAAAGTGGAGTAGAATGATCATACATAAAAAGATTCTATGCTCCATGTGTTGTTTGAAAGGGGACCACAAATATGTTAATTACTTTTAATTTTAAGGGATATTATGTATTTTGAAATTTTAGTGATAACCACTAAAAGAGCAAAAATAGATTATTTAACTGTCAGACTAACATAGGGAAACAATGAAATTAAGATAAATCAATACAAAGAAGACCTAGAAAAAGAAAAAAGAGCATAGAAAAATCATGGTATATAGCAAGATTGAAATATGATCATTAAAATAGTCTACTAGAAATCATAATCAATATCATGTAAAAGTTCCATTTACAAATCCCAAACTAACAAAGTAAAAGAAAAAAAAAACAATATATCTGCTTCCAATAAGAGAATGTAGCAAGAAATCTTGAAAACAGTAAAGTTGAAAATAAAAGAACAGAAAAAGCTACAACAAGCAAATACTAACCTAAAAAATTGCACTTATATTACCATCAGAGAAAATGTACTTTGAGACAAAAAATTGTTTTCTACTTGATTAATGATTAAAAATATCATTAAATGAAAGGTAAAACAGTCTCTTTGCTAAAACTTTGCAAGATTATCCTTTACTCTAGTTCCCAACAAGTTCCTCATCTCCATCTGAGACCACCTCCGACTGGATTTTGTTGTCCATATTACTATCAGCATTTTGGTCAAAACCATTCAACAAGTCCCTAGATGTTCCAAACTTTCCCAAATCTTCCTGTCTTCTTCTGAGTCCTCCAAACTGTTCAACCTCTGCCCGTTACCCGGTTCCAAAGTCGCTTCCTCAATTTCAGGTATCTTTACAGCATCACCTCACTCTACCGGTACCAATTAACTGTATTAGTCAGTTTTTACATTGCTGATAAAGACATACCTGGACTGGGTAATTTATAAAGAAAAAGAGGTTTAATAGACTCACAGTTCCACGTGGCTGAGGAAAACTCACAACCATCATGGAAGGTGAAAGGAACATCTTACACGGTGGCAGGCAGAGAGAATGAAATCAAAGCAATAGGAATCCCTTCTGTAAAACCATCAGATCTCATGAGACTTATTCCCTGCCATGAGAACAGTATGGAGGAAACAACATCCATGATTTAATTATCTCCTACCAGGTCCCTCCCACAACACATGGGGATAATGGGAACTACAATTCAAGATGAGATTTGGGTGGGGACACAGCCAAACCATATCATGTAGTAATCAAGATAGCCATTATTTCAAGCATAGAATATTACTAAAATTTTACTCTATGCTCTTGCATACAATAAGTATTAGGAACAATTTAAAAATCTATATCACACAGTCCTCTGTGACTACAATATAAATTTGGCATTTAGTTTAAAAAGAACTTCAACAATTTTATATATTTGGAAATATGCACCTTTAAGCATACATTTTAAAGCATACATTTTAACTAAACATATAAATAAACAATATAAATACTTTATATAAAAATTGTAGAATGAAAGTTAAAGTGGGGCTTCAAGGAAAATTTAGAATCTTAAGTAATTATATACTAAAGAATAAAGCTAGAAAATTGTACTAAGAAATGAATATGACAGAATAAACTCAAATACAATAGAGTTGTCAGTAGAAAAAAAGGAACAGAGTGTAAAGAAATAAGAAGCAAATCTATAATGAAGAGGAACCATAAAGCAAAAAATGTGGTTCTTTATAAAATTAATAAAATAGAAAACTTCTGGAAAAAACATTAGGATGAGCTAGAGAAAACACAATCAATGTTATGAATGACAAAAGTGACCTAAGCACAGACTGAGAAAAATAGAACATTTTAGAAATTTATTCAAAAACTATGGAAAATTTTGATTACATTGATATTTTTCCTAGAACAATATTATTTGCATAAAAGAAAGAAAATTACTGAAGGTACCTATAGTCCTTAAACATATTTAATCAGTGTTTACAAAGTAATGACTCCTTTCATAAAATAAGGCCATGAGTTCCATAGAGTTGTTATTAAGTATTAAAATGACTTTCAAAAAACCAGTAATTTTAATATCTATGTATTTGTTTTAAACAATAAAAAAAGATATAGACTTTTTTTTTTGAGACAGAGTTTTGCTCTCGTCTCCCAGGCTGGTGTGTAGTGGTGCAATCTCGCCTTGCTGCAACCTCTGCCTCCTGGGTTCTAGCGATTCTCCTGCCTCAGCCCCTGAGTAACTGGGATTACAGGTACCCGCCACCATGTCCAGCTAAATTTTTGTATTTTTAGTAGAGATAGGGTTTTATCATGTTGGGGCAGGCTGGTCTCAAACTTCTGACCTTAGGTGATCCACCCCCCTCAGCTTCCCAAAGTGCTGGGATTACAGGCATGAGCCACCGTGCCCGGCCAAGAGATAGACTTTTTAATCACTTTAAATACTTTTTGTTACATTCAGATCAGGCCAATACAGATACTAAGTCTTTGTTTTTTGCTTTACGGTGTTAGGGCTCAGTATTTACCATCAATATGTAATGCCACATTTTTCATAGATATGTTTTTCATATTAAATGGGTCAATTTTTGGGTTCTTGATTCTATCTATTGGCTTGTCTGTCCCTGTGTTAATAACATTATCTTAAATTGCTATAGTTTCCATAGTTAGATAACTAGTATTTTCATGTTATTCTTCTTCACAATTATCTAGGGAAACCTTGACCCTCATATTTTTTATATCAATTGCATTGTGACAGTCTATGATATTGCATTAAGAAAATTAACTGTGGAATTTTCATATCCATATCCCTGAACATAATTTTTTTAAAAATTTATTTGTTAATTACTGTTATTACTATCATTATATTTTCTAACTGTTGCTGGTCTACAGTAATGCAATGTCTTTTATATGTAGATTTTGTTCCCAGAAATACTGATGAAATCCATGATCAATATTATAATTTATCTATTTCACTCATATAAGTTCCAAATATGGAAGTATATTTCTTACTTTCTACTTATACACTAGGACTTCTTGTTTGAATATTGAATAGAAGCTGTTACAATGAGTTTAATTTTTCTTAATTCTAATTTTGAAGAAAAGGCCATAATTAAAAATGATATCTGAAATTACAACTTTCTTGAGTATAAGAAATTTCCATATACAGCTAGTTTGCTAAGAGTTTTATTATGAATGGATATTGAATTTTATTGAATATGTTTTCTTTTTCTGTTTTTTCTTTTTTTTTTTTTTTTTTTTTTTTGAGATGGAGTCTCGCTCTGTCACCCAGGCTGGAGTGCAGTGACACAATCTTGGCTCACTGCAACCTCTACCTCCGAGGTTCAAGCAATTCTCCTGCCTCGTCCTCCCAAGTAGCTGGGATTACAGGCCTGTGCCACTATGCCCAGCTAATTTTTTTGGTATTTTTAAATAGAGATGAGCTTTCACCATGTTGGAGAGGCTGGTCTTGAACTCCTGACCTCAAGTGATCCACCTACCTCGGCCTCCCAAACTGAATATGTTTTCTCCATAATTTTAATTTGTTTAACATGAAGAAAATATTACAATATTTCCTAATGTTAAATTATTTTTACATTCCTGAGATATTTCTAATTTTGCTATAAGCATGTATTATTAATTATTATTAATTAATATCTTAATATTAAATAACTATATAATTTTATATTTTAAATATATATCATATCTATTTATCTGCCTATTTTCATCATCGTAGTCATTATCATGTTAATAAAATGAAAGGCCTTGTAAGGAAGATTCTGAAGACTTAACCTCCCAAGTAGGAGGTATTTTCTCCCAAGTAGGAGAAAATACCAATAACTGGTATTGAGCATTATGGCCTCTCGCTTTATCAAAAAACCTCACACATCACTTTTTAAACACAATTAGAGAAATGCTATCTTTTCCTCCAAACTACCATCTAAACAGCTGATAAAACAAATCTGTGACAGAAAAGAAATCCTACAATGAATGTGGTTCTAATTAAGAAGTTGAGGGGCGGGCATGGTGGATCACACCTGTAATCCCAGTACTTTGGGAGGCCAAGGCGGGCCGATCATCAGGTCAAGAGATCAAGATCATCCTGGCCAACATGGCGAAAACCCATCTCTAATAAAAATACAAAAATTAGCTGAGCGTGGTGGTGCATGCCTGTAGTCCCAGCTACTCGGGAGGCTGAGGCAGGAGAATCACTTGAACCCAGGAGGCGGAGGTTGCAGTGAGCCGAGATCACGCCACTGCACTCCAGCCTGGTGACAGAGCTAGACTTCGTCTCCAAAAAAAAAAAAGTTGATAAATTAATAATGATTATCACAGATTTGCAAATTCAGTGCCTTTTTATGTCTTTAAATAAGTAAAGAAGAAAGGCATGTGAGCAATAAGAGAGTAAGAAAAACTTACAAAAGCACTACTGGCAGTAATATTTATTATAATAACAATGCGGTTATATAACAATGATCACCATGCTAAGAGCTCTTCCATATGCGTAACAGCAAAACTTTCATAGAGTAAAAACTTGGCACAGAGATAATGCTCCCTTTGGGTTTTTGAAGGAATAAATTAATGAAAAACAAAATGTTTAAGGCACATGTATCTAGTGAATTTAGCAATTTTCTATACCAGTGGTACTTTATTTAAGTGATGAAGAATTATGTGAACTTGGCTTTTGAGAACCCTACATTTACTATGTCATGGATTTGTTCTATTTTCAGCTGTATGATACTTCTAAGATATTATCAAAGAATATCAATAATACTGGAAATAAACCACATTATATTTATACTACTTAAAATATTTCTTAATTTATCATGAAGTTGGAATATAAGATGTGTTCTCTAGAGTTGAACATTGAGGCAGTTAATATATTACCTCTGGACTCAATATTTGCCTGTTTTATTCAACAATACAAAATACATGAATTGGAAATTTCCACAGGAAAAATACATTCCTTGGAAATGAATTAAGAATAGAGAAATGATAGATAGAGTAAGAGAGAGAGAGGGAAAGGAAGTACTAAATCAATTGTTAATAAATAACTACCATGTAGGATTCCAGAAAAAATGAAGTAAAATTGAAGTATTTAGAAATGGATATGGCAGTACCCAGAAATATTGCTTTCATTAAACTTCTATATTTAAATGGGTGTGTGAATCACACTCTCTGAGATTTAAGCTTTGGAAAGATTCATAACATTATTTACTGCTGAATATCTACACATATACGTACACGTGTGCACATTTTTATAGTATAGAGCACCATTTCCTGTCCAATGAAACTTTAAGTGGTTAAATCCAGGCAAATAATTAAACTGTTTGGAAACGTGAAAATGAAAATGCAAAACATGCCTGTGTTGGATAACACTATCTAAAAATCCTAGGTACAACTTCTTCATCAATGAAAGGTGATGACTGACTTAGTTGAGTACATACATATTTCTAGATTCAGCTCTAAATCTCCCACTCACTAGTGCTGTGACTCAACCCTCTTAATTTTTATGAGACTTAAGTTTCTTTATCTGCAAATTGGATGAATTATTCAATAACAATCATAGAATTATTCAATAAAAGTTGATAATTTGTAGGATTAAATTTCCAAGAATGTCTAGAATGAATGTAAGGACATAAAAATCTACTCTTCGTAATCAATGATAGATTCACATAATTGGGAGTGAAAATACTTTCAGATTACCCATGTCTAATCATCGTCAAAATGAAATAAATTATAAATTTACTTATTATGCTCAAATTTTTTTCAAATGAGTGAAAGTAACTTCAGCATAAAATTTTAGAACATAGCCTCAGGATGGATCTTTAAAAAATATTACTTGAAATTGGAAAAATGATAAAAAAGAATTGTCTAGAATAGTCACGGACTGCAAATCTTGCTAGGAGTCTGCAGGTGCAAAAATAAACCTGTAAAATGGAACAAATTTTCTAACTTGAAATTAGAAATGTGGCCCATGTCCATTCTTTAGAAAACTGATCGTTGTTTTTATTTAAAAGCAGACATCTGTAGCCACTCCACAGATTATGAGAATTGTAATCAGAAACACAGCATATGGTAGCAAGTGATGAATCTGAGGAGACACAGCTAAGTTTAGATCTAACTAAAATTCCTAGGTTTCACTTTAAAACTAAATGTAAGAAACATTCTGGCGTCATTTATCATTACATGAAGTTAATATATGATGTTCTCATTTTTAACTGGTCCCTTAAACAGAAGTATAAATGTAATACACACTTTCTATTTGAACTTTCTATTTGGTCTTTCCAATACAAAAAACTTGTGTTTGTTTTCTGTGATGACAGATATACCAAAATAAGGGTAAAAAGTTAAAAAGTATACATATTATATACAATTATAGATAAATATATAGCTAGAAAACTCATAATGTATGTAAGTAGATTAAAATTCTACTTATATAGGAAAGCAATTCTGATAAATTTGGATAGTTACTTACTTAGCTTTTCCAGATTATTTCCCGTATTCTAGACCAATCTGATGATACTCATTCAACCAATCACAGTTACATAATTGAACCATATACATAATGTAAAATTTATCATTGTTTAATCCCAGAAGCTTATTTTCAGAAAGTTAACATGAATATAAGTAAAAAAATCTCTGACTTTGTGAAGAATATCTCATGAAAGCAATAAAGAAATCCTGTTATTTGTAAAATATCTATTGTATTCCAATTTCAGTATAAGATGTGAGACATGGTGAAACCCTGTCCCTACTAAAAATACAAAAAATTTAGCCAGACGTGGCGGGGTGCACCTATAGTCCTAGCTACAAGGGAGACTGAGGCAGGAGAATCGCTTGAACCCGGGAGGTACAGGTTGCAGTGAGCTGAGATCATGCCAATGCACTGCAGCCTGGGTGACAGAGTGAGACCCTGTCTCAAAAAAATAAAAAAATACAAATAAAAAAGAATACCCTTTGTATTGGCAGAGTAGGAACAGAGGCAGAATAAGCTCAACATCTGGAGACTGTCTTGTCCATTCTCCTGATTTTAAGATACTTTTTGGTCTACTTCTCTGTTGCCTTTGCCCCTTTCAGAATGATCTTGCCATCCTGCTCATCCCGCCGTATATGGCATATTGGGAAAATGCCGAGGCCATCCATCTGGACTCCTTCACTGCTTACACATTTGGACACAAGAAGTATTTTCCCCCTGCCATTTAGAAATGTGTGTATTGTGATGGGGGCAACAGTTGCGTGACAGGCTGTCTTGCGATCATCTGCCTAAAAACATGAAAACACATTTCTCTGCTTGTTTTTTGTTTGTTTGTTCCTACTTTCTTGAAGTCTTAGGTTAGTGGATAAAAGCATAAACCAAGGAGCCAGACTATTAGGATTCACATCCTTCTTTCTATACTTATTTGCTGAGAAGATTTGAAAATTGTTTTTCTTTGCACTTTCTATTTGTAAAATAGGCAGAAATTGTAGGTTTATCTTCATAGAGTTTTTATGAGGTTTAAATGGAATAATGGATGAAAGTAATTTACATCAGTGCCTGACACATAATAGTTAAACATGTTAATATTTATTTGCCATGATTTATAATTATTACCAACTAACTCTATTGTGTGATTTTTCCCAGGAAAGATGATACCAATCTCTCTGTAGTTCAGATCCCCAAAGCTGTCTATGTGTTTGTTAAACTCCTGTTTTCAGGCAAAACTTAGAGAAGGAAAAGATGCCATACCTCCTTCTCAGTAACCCATTACCATCTAAGGTGTTGGATATGGGACTTATTATTACCATTGCTCTTAAGAACCTCCTTTCCCAGCTCATAAGAAACTTTATCTGGTCTCATCCTGGAAAGATCGGGAGCTTAGAAGCCTAAACTTGACTAATTATGTATTCGTTATGGCCCATGATGTCTCAGGGTCTAGGGTTTCCAAATTTAAAATTCTTTTCTCAGCTTCTACTATAGCAACTTTATCCTAATGTTGTGATTTTTAAAATTTATTTTATTGAGTGTTACAAATTACCACAAATTTAGCAGCTTAAACCAAAACCGGTTTATTAGCTCAAAGCTCCATAGGTCTGAAGCCAAGGTGGGCTCCACTATATTCTCTGTTTGGGATCCCACAAAGTCAAAATCAGGATATCAGCCAGGCTGAGTTCTTATTTGGAGGCTCTGGGAAACACTCTATTTCCAAAGTCTTTCTTATTGTTACAGAATCCAGTTTCATGCAACTGTAGAACTAAAGTTCCTGATTCCTTGCTGACTAGTGGCTCAGGGCTGCTCTCAGTTTCTAGGAATCTCTTTCAAGTTATTTCCACATAGTACCCTCCATTTCCCAACCAGCAGCAATTCACCAAATTTTACTCATGCTTCCAATCTCTGGCTTCCTCTTTTGTTCTCAGCTGGAGAAAGCTCTGTGATTTTACACAGCTCAGGTGATTAGGTGAGACCCACCCTGATCACCTCCCTATTTTAAGGGTAATTAAATGGTAACCTTAGTGATATTTGCAAAAAATTTTTTGCTATGTGACATGCTCATTAGAATAACACGAGGGAATGAAGATCATGGAGGCTATCTTAGAATTTTTCAAATCATATTTAGGTAATAGATATGTGAGATCTAGGAGTTTGCTCCTATGGGGAAGAATCAGGGTAATCAAAAATTACACGAAGAAATATTGTCAAATGGTATTTTTAAATATTTTACTAACACTTTCATATTTCTGTATATGGTTTCTTGTCCAAATAATAGTTTTGTAAATGAATATTAAATTAGTGAATGAATAAAAGTGATATTGGTGATAAGAATCTTGTCATTTTTATCTGCTCCCTCTATTGTCAGAATGACTGCTAAATATTAATTCAGTCATTTTTTTCCCTAAGGCAAACCATTCCTTACTGGCTTATTTTTGCAACTTAATATCTGTTTTTAAAACTAATTCCTTTTGTTTAGAATAATGTCTTATTCATTATAGAATGTTTTTGTTATTTCAATATTTATTTTTTGTTTTTGAATGTTAGTTTAAACTGTTTTTATATTTGTTATCAATTGTATGTTTAAAATATTTAATTTATTGAGAAATTGGCTTACAATTTTTTTCTAGAAGGTGTTAAAATTTGCTTTGAATATCATTATGAACTATGATTACATCCAAAATGTAGGGTTTTTTTTCCCTTAAAAATCCAGTCTATTTGGAGAACTTAAAGTCAGTGTCTTATTCTCTACCCTTCTCCTATGAAAGGAAGAGCTATTTAGTTGAAAATTCCTTGGTAAGTTTTAATTTTTTAATTATACAAAAGATTGAAAATATAAACTTTTTAAAAATGCTACACATGCTCCTCTAGCCTGAGACTATGCTGAGAAAGTAGTTGCTCTCAGGCTGAGCGGATAGCCCAGCCCAACATGTAGTTTCAGATTCAAGGATTAAAAAGCTGCCTTTATGTTGCTATTTTTCAAACATGCACAGACTTTTATACTTTTGTAGCTACAGAGCAATGCCAATTTTCTCATTTAACTCTTCTATTAAATAAAGTATGTAATCTAAATGGTAGGAATATACATTTACCCTGTCCAATGCAAACAGAATTTAACATTTTAGCATTCTTATTTGTCTTGATTTAACTCATGCAAAGAGTTTATATATGTCACCTCAATAGTTTGGAGCTAATGGACTAAGTTTTTTTATGAAACCTCAGAAAGGTCTATTCTCTAGTTTTTTGGGTTGTGCTTTTTTCTTGAGAAATATATACTTTAGAAGGAGAGCTTTTCTTCACCACAGTCGTCTACATATTTATTTGCAGTCCATCCTCCAAAGATATTTGCTTTTAAATTTCTGCCTCACAAGTCATAATTTCCATTTCAATATTTTAGAATTGTTCTCACAAGCTTCGTAGATATAATCTCTCCCCTCACCCTAACATGTTGCTTTGACAAAATTAATATAACAAAATGCTAAGATATTTCATGTACCTGTCACTTACTGGGGATTTCTGAATTCTGTGAGCATCTGTTTCCTGTTGCTGCTAAAGAGCAAGAAATCCAATTAAGAATAGTGAGAAAGGAGAGAATAGACTTCTTGATTTTGTAGGCAATTGGCCAATAGAAGTTACTGTGAAATTTTTATTCCTAAGGGGTTTCAATTATATGATAAAGTTTTTCTGTTGTAAAGAAAGAGGTAGATTGAGGGACTTTTTGAACTTTCTTATATGTGTTTTATAAAAAAAAGATTTACTAATACTGAATGATTCCTTTGATTGATTATTATTTTACATGTAAACATGGAAGGGAGAATACAAGTATTATTTAATATAAATGTCAAAGAATGATGCATATTTCATGAAGCTACAATAATTGAAAAATCTAGAAGAGAGCAAATCAACTGAAAACTGTTATCTGAAAGTAATTCTATGATCAGCTAGAGGAAAGAACTCCTAGTCTACTCAAATAACATGCTTATATAAAGAAGAATGGCCAAATAAGCATAAATTTTATATAAGATTTTATCATTTTCTCTACTTAGTTGAGCTCCACTAGAGTCTTTTTTTAATGTCACAGGAAGGAAAATGTGACCATTACTGCAATTCCTTTTTTTGTGTTAGTGAAAATTGCAATACAAAATAGGTAATGCAACTCTCTGCTGCCCATGAACAGTAGTACCTCAGCATATCTCTACATGAAAGCTTATTTTACTATCACTTAAGGAACTCATTACCCTTTTATGAGGCTTACATGCTGCTTTACAAATATAGCACTCTAGTAACATTATGAAAGCATCATTATTCTTGCCAGTGGCATTTTTTAAAGCAAGGAAAAACTAGTTTGAAAATAACTTCCTTAGTGTTCTTAGTCTTTTGTACTATGCTAATATTTTCCCACACTTTTGTTGAATTCTTAGTTTTATTTTAGTTTTTCCACCATCTGGAAGTTATTAAAATGTGAGAAAACTTGTATAATTCTGATTTAGTTGTTGAGGTAAGAAACTACTTTGGATCATCTTTAATAGAACAGGAAGGAGTCAGGCCCATTTCTACACAGGAGCCAATCAGTGTTCAACACAAACATTAGTTTAACATGGGTACCATTTTGATTCAAATATCACAGTAAGTTATTTTAGGTTCAAAAAGTTCAACTAACTTAGAGCACATATACATTACATTAGCAGTTTTAAACCATGTGGCAAAATGTCATGTAAGGTCTGCCCCCAAGTTGTTTATTATTAATAAAAAGTAAAATATAAAAATTTGTGAGTGATATATTTTACAGAGAAAGAAAAATACATTCCAATTTATTTTTATACTATCATTACCCTTACTTTTTGATATTTTTTCTTGAATAAGAAAAGTTGATGAATTAGCTGGAGTATGGTCTTGGGAAATACAGAGCACTGAGGGAGTGTGTTTTGCAGGTAAATATTATTACACTTGGTGTCATGGTGAAAACAAGAGTGCAAACAGAACCAACTCACTACCTAGTATACCTCATTCTCTAATTTAGACTATCCCAATTTAAGAGATTCCTCTAAGCTCACCTATCTTTTGGAAAAATATATTTGAAATATAAATAATGAGACATTACAAGAGAAAGATTATTTTTCCATGTGGAAGTCATGAGAGACTTTTATGAACTGTAATTTAGTATATTTCTCAAGAGAATAAAAATGACTTTGATAATTCAGGACATAATGTCCAAAGTACAACAAAATGGATAGCTAAAAACTTAGCTTCTATTGTTCTATGAAACTCATATAATTTATGAGTGTTCTGGTCTTCTTATGCCCAACAACTGCTAATATCCAATAACTATTTGAAAATATAACAATTTTGAATTATTTATTAGTATTAATGAACCACACCTTTAACCAATACCTACAAGATTACAACCTTCCTAAAAATGAGATAACGATTTTTCAACAAGATAAGGATTTTTCTATACATCATGGAAAAGGACCTCCAAGAACTACTTGTTCAATTTCATTTATTTATTTATGTTTGGCTGGCCCTGATTTGAACCAAGATATATTCCAGAGCAGCTGAGGTGACATGAAGCTAGAAGGATATGAAAAATTCATAGCTATAAAGCATCAGATAATGGGTAACAAATGTAGTCCCTATTTTGTACATTGCATGACAGTTTTCAAATGCTACATGTTTTTTCTCACAGTGAGAGTTCATTATAAAAGTATTAATAGAGATTTTATTATCCATCCAGGAACTTATAGAAAGCTAGAGAAGACACTAAAAAGGGATCAGTTCTAACTTATCATACAATATTGATGCATTTTAAACACAATGTGTAGTTTATAACTAAACATAAAGATGTGCCAAGTAATTTTTTTTTGAATTATCAAATGTCCAGTTGGATAAACAAGGCACCTGTATATTTGGTTCAATTGATTCCATGTTATAATATGCTCATCCAATTTTATTTTAATTGGATTTAATGTTTAAGTTTTAGACTACTGAATTTGTAATCCTCATAAATTAATCTATAATTATTTTTAAAGTAATAAGCAATTATTTGGCAAAAATCAATGTTCTCTTCGGACAAAAATGATGATTTACAATTGACATAATGTGAACTTGCCATTCCTCTTTCCCTAACTCTTCCTGTTCATTCCAGTTAATCCTTCTGTATCTGAATCTCACTTCATGAGAGGAATAACATGTTAAATAATGAAAAGATTATTCTAGAGAGAAGCAATCTGTTCAACACTTTCGGCTAGCTAATACAATTGTATAACTTATGTATTAGCTTCTTAATTGTGCTTCAGTTGTGTTTTAGCCTAGTAAGTATTTTTATTTATAAAATATCAATGCACAGTATCTCTATGGCACCTGGAGATAGGTAAAGACAGAACCATGCAGCGAATTGAGCATGATGATTCTCATATTTCAGAGAACTGGCTTCCAGAAAACGAGAGATAATATAGGCAACTTTTTAGTAGAGGAAGTGAGAAAGGAAAATTTAGTTTTTTTGGTATGTGGCATATTCAGAGTTGGAATCATAGTTACTAAACAACTAGGAAAAAGAATGAGGAGTCCGCCATGGCAAGCAGAGTCAAGAAGTACTGAACACTGACTCGGTCATATTTTAGAATTGATTCAAGCTGAGAAATAATGCAAAATGACTTACAATGTCTCAGTAAATCCTAATGTTGATCATTCATTAGGTCAACAAATATTTATTGGGCATCAACTATGTGAATAGCAAAAAGCTAAATACTGTATATGCTAAGCTGTGACACTATTCCTATCTTTAAGGAATTTTTAAAATGTAACCTCAATAGTAATAAAATTTGAGATATATTATGCATAGAGAATGACTGAACAAAATATGTAATCATCTCGTGTTCATCTGGAAATTTGGACCTCAAAATACATATATTTAACCTATTCTTATGTTTAGTTATAGAATGACAAATTATTACTACAATGTTAACCTAAATAATTGCATATCAGAGTAATAAATCAGACATGAAAAAGATAAAATTCAATAACTTGGCTGAGCAGTGATTGTGATTTGATGAATTGACTATTACAGATATTTCTGTATACCATCTTAACAGTAAATTCTGGGGGCAAGATATTGATAAATTTTTACTTCTAAATAAGTCCAATTGATTGGTTTCATTTGCTGATTTAACAAATATTTATTGAGTGTGCATTAGCTCTCTAAGCACTGTTCAAGGTTCTAGGACTAAAAAGGTAAATAAAATAGACATGGTCCCTATTGCAAACATGAATATTTTGGAAAGAAATTCAAACAAGGCTAGAGTTCCATTTAGGATTGATAGGTGCATGATAAGTACCTGATGTGTCTGAGGTGCTGATTTAATCCCTGATGATATAGGGATAAGTATAGAGATGTTACACAGAAAAGATCTCCGAATTAAATTCTGGATAATACCCACAGTGAGAAGGTGAGAATAGCAAAGGGGTAATATTGGAGGGTCAGGAGAATAAATATCCATGGAAGTAGATGGAGATAACACATTAAAAGCCACTAATACCAAAGAGAGAGAAAATGTGAATATAAAACAGGTGGTTAAAAGTGTGAAGTGTCAAGATAAATTCAGTCTGATAAAATAACTTTCTTTGTGGCTAGTAGTTATGAAAAATACATTAGAGTAAATGGAAAAGAATTAAGACAATTGATCAGACCAGATAATTTAGGCCAGTTTCCCCTCATCGCCTCAATAAATATCTACATGTGACAGAAAAGTGGTCACTGATTTGTTTAAATGTGTCTAATTTTTTCATTTCAGCCTGAGAAAGAGATTTTAGACTAGGTTATAGAAACTAGGTTATAGTGTCATGACAAAGGCTGGAGTATGAGTTTGACCCAACATTATATAAAATCCTGCACACATTAATTTAGCAATGGTAAATCTGTAAATTTATGCTTACAAATTGCTCATTTCTACCTCTAGGAGGAATTTTCAATGATGTTTTGCTTTTGCCTCACCTTATTATCAGTTCCTTAACATCAAGTGTATAAGATTTTAACTATATGAGGTATCTACCAAGTAGAATTGCAATTTAAACATTTCTAGTAATCTATTTTAATATTTGATTAAATAATAATATGAACTGTTAGCTATTCAATCGTCCTTTTCTCTTATTTATTTACCATAAAAATCTGAAGTACTACAGGGAAAAACTTGCGTTAGGAGAGGAAAAAAGCATTATTCTGGGTAACACTGATGGGCTCTATTTGTCAAAATGTGTGTCTGTAAAAAAAGAATTTTGATCAAATGTACTGAAATATGTTGGTCTGAACAAGGTAAAACCTATTTCTTTATTGCAAGACTTCTCAGAGACTGGATAAACATAAAATCATAAGGGCTTAGATTGTTTATACCTTAGTTACCCCTGTATATTAAGTGTGGGGTACTCAATAAATATTGATTTAATAAATATCCTAATGCAAGCTGTGATTCTCTAGAATGAGAGTGAAAATATGCTATAGTTCCCAAATATATTTGGCCCAGGTCCTTTTTTTTCCCCACAGAGCATCTTGCTGTACAGAACACACGTTAGGAAATGCTAATGTTTGGATTATTCCTGGAAGAGACTATTACTAGGAATCCCTTTCCCAAAAACTTTCTCTAGAGCAAATCGTTAAAAGTAAAGTCTATTGGCCGGGCGCGGTGGCTCACGCCTGTAATCCCAGCACTTTGGGAGGCCGAGGCGGGCGGATCACGAGGTCAGGAGATCGAGACCATCCCGGCTAAAACGGTGAAACCCCGTCTCTACTAAAAATACAAAAAATTAGCCGGGCGTAGTGGCGGGCGCCTGTAGTCCCAGCTACTTGGGAGGCTGAGGCAGGAGAATGGCGTGAACCCGGGAGGCGGAGCTTGCAGTGAGCCGAGATCCCGCCACTGCACTCCAGCCTGGGCGACAGAGCGAGACTCCGTCTCAAAAAAAAAAAAAAAAAAAAAAAAAAAAAAAAAAAAAAAAAAAAAAAAAAAAATAATAATAATAAAGTCTATTATCACAAAAATTCAATAAGCACTGACAGAATGCCTACAGTTCCAGTTATTGTGGAAAGTACAAAATATTGGGAATATTAACATGGTTACAATTAAGTCCTTGCGTCCAGATTTTGCCACAGTGTGTTGAAATAATTTGTGTTTGACTGGCTTATTATAATGTACACTACAGATATAAGTGGTAGTTCAAAGCAACAATAAATAGGGAAGAAGGCAGGGGACACAGTAAATAGCATTTGTAATACACCTACTCTGAGTCATGCACTGTATATATATATATATATATAAATTTCACCCACTTCATAGGCCTATGAGTTTAGTAAGCATCATGACCTGCTAGCACAGAAATTTAGAGGCAATATAGTATATTGCATAAGAACATGGAGTCTGCAGTGAGGTCACTGGGGTTTGAAACCTGTTTGTGCTACTTGCTTACAATGTGGCCTTGGATACTTTACTG
Source organism: Homo sapiens (assembly GCF_000001405.40). Lineage (NCBI taxonomy): Eukaryota > Metazoa > Chordata > Mammalia > Primates > Hominidae > Homo > Homo sapiens. The sequence continues at coordinate 92,185,784 of NC_000005.10, forward strand.
TATAGATACAGATATAAAGATAAGAACATTGTGTGTCAAATGCCATTACTTACACAAAGGGATTCATAACAACATCTATTTTATTGGGTCACTGTGTGGATTAAATGAGATAATACATGTAAAGCATTTTAAACCATACCTAGCACGTGGTAAAGATCAGGTCATTACTGTTTTTATTACAAAACAAATAACTTGCCCAAGGTCATTGCAGCTGTTTGTAGTAGAGTCAGGATTCATCCTGAATCTGTCTGGCTTCGGAAGCCCAGGCTCTTTTTTCACTACCTCAAGACAATGCATGATTAATTTCTAAATACACTTTGCAGACAAGAATTTCAGGGGAGCTCAGAGCTAGGAGAATTCATTTCAGGTTGAGGAGTCAGAGAGATCTTTATTGAAGTGGGATTTGAGGCAGGCCCTGAAAGATGAATGGTATTTTGAGAAGCAAGGAGGAAAGAAGTGGGCATTTTAAGCAAACATATTATCACCAATAGAAGTGTAGTTTAGAAAAATGCACATATCCACAAATGATACTTTTTTTCCTCAGACTTTTGTTAGCCATAACAAAAGTTATCATGTAACATTAGTTTTAAAGGAAAATATTAACCTGCAATCCTACCACTCTAGTCATAAAATGTTTATTTTTTCACTTTTAATGTTGTCTTCAAGTATTTGTCTACAGATAAATATATTAATTTATTTTATCGCTCTGATCATGTGAAGAATCACTCTCAATGATTGTTTAATCTAGCAAAATGTAGCATGTGTCTCCTACTAGAATATACAATAATCAAAGAAAAATCACTGCAGTTGGTACATGCTAATTATATATGTATATATTTTGTATTTATATATTATATGTACAGACTCATATAATGTTCTAATATATATCCAAATATTCAAATAAGTATCATTGTTCAGAAACAAAATGTCTAAACAACATTGTTGGATCATAGTACAAAATGAAAACAAATTATTAAGCGTGTGTGTGAGTGGAGACCTTTTTAGTTTAATGAGAAGGAACTATATTTGTATTATCTTTAAATCAATGCATAAGGAGAAATTAATTGGCTGTCATAAGTGTGAATCCAGTGTTTCAAAACGTCCTCTTTATGTTGGGCATAAGGGAATGCTGCTAACCAAAACTCAAGTCCTATCAATTTAGAAATAGTAATATTAATAGCTAACATTTATGGGGTGCTTAGGAAGTGTTTCAGGCATTGTTCCAAACATTTTGAATATTTAACTTCATTTCTAAAGTTATTTAACTTCATTTCTAAAGTTATTTAGTTTGTACACAACTCAATGATGGTGGTTAGTAGATTGAAATGAGAAATTAAATAACTTACTTAGATTCATCTCTGAAATACTCCTGGTGATGAAGAAGATGGAGCACTAGAATTGTCCAGACCTGAGGTAATTCCTACCTCTCCACCCACCAGTAATGCTGATTACGGTGGAAGGGCTCAGCCCCACAAAAACCACAGGGACACACATGGGGAAGAGATTTTAATGCAGGTAAAATGATAAATGTCTGCTACTGGAATCCACTTATGAAAAATAAAGACCTTTCCTGCGTCCCAGGATGTTTTTGCTTTCCCCCAAACAAAAATTTTCACGAGTAAAATCAAGACAAATAAAGTGCTAAAATGCTAAATTCTGTTTGCAGAGACAAGGTAAAAATATATTCCTAACATTTGGACTGTGTATTTATTTATTAGAAGAGTTAAATGAGAATACTGGCATTGCTCTGTAGCTACTAATATGTAAAAGTCTGTGCATGTTTGAAAAATAGCAGCTAAAATGCAGCTCTTCGACCTTTGAATCTGAAACGAGTTGTTGGGTTAGTCTATCTGCTTGCAGCCTAAAAGCAACCAGTTCCAAAGAACAGAGTTTAAAGTTTCCAATCCAATCCTGGATATAGTATTTGTCTAGCCCAACATTTCCTAGATTATACTCAGATTTGTAAATTATTGCCCTTTCTAAATAGTATCTGTATTTTCTTTAAACCAATATTTTTTGCTTTAAAGGGATTATTTTAAAACAATACCATATTATCATGGAAATGAATATTTTCAATATATTTTTAAATGAATTAAAATTATTCCAACTCAAAAAAGTCTACATGCGGCATCAAAATCAAAACTTCATTCCATCAGTTATAGTTATTTTATATATTAGAAATTATTATTTTGCTTTTTTTAAAGGACTTTACGAAGAAAGATGCCACATCTTCCTTGATATTGGCATTCTTTCCATGTCCTTTAATGGCCACCAACCTGGCCTTACACAGTGACTCTGCTGTGTTAGTACTACTGCACTTATTGTAAATGGTATCAGGAGCCATAGCACACATTCTGTGAAAAAGCAATACTTATTCTTTAATTCTATGCTAAGTTTGGAGACTGTCAGTTTTTAGTAGTTAAAATAGAGTTGAAGGAAGGATAAAAACCACGCTTCTTAAAGGATATGGAAATAAACCTACCCACTATTTTTTGATATTGAAGAGAAAGTTCCACTGAGTTGAATAAAATAAGTTTTAAATCTTTGAAAAAAAAAGGAGCAGGAATCGGCAGAGTTCATCTTAATTTCTTTCACATCTTAGCCCAGGTATACAGACTTCTTTTCTCACAGTTCAAAATCCCCAAGATATGGAAAGTCATGGCTTGGTTGTCTCGGAAGATACTCTTGTTTTCTAAGTACTAGGCTGGAGAAGGAGTGCATTTCTACAAGTATGAATGGAAGGGGTGGAAAGATGCTTTAGAATTATAGTCAACTATTTAGAAGCAATGTGTTGAAATTAGAGCCATCCAAAACAAAACAAGATGTTCATTGTCCTCATGGGGCCATAACTGATTCCTTCTATTCAAGAGGAGACTGCCTGTGGCTGCCTCTTTCTGCCTGAGTCTCCTTCTGTCCCAGAGTCCTGGAAGACATTCTGGTTGGATACCTGAAAACACATCTTAGTGCCAGAAGGAAAATTGATTAAAAAGCTTCAAAGGGGAGAGGGGAACCCTACCAGGCTCCAAGCAGACTTCATTAGCACATAACTCTGCTCCTTTCTAAAATGTATACATCAGATTATCTTATTTTGTATATTTATGTATTCATACATTTACTTTTTATTTCATATTTGTTTGTTTGTTTGTTTTTAAATACATCTGCTTCTAACTCTGGCAGGACATGAATCCAGAAGCCATGTAACTTTATCTTGACCACCATAAATGATAATAATATTACTATCTTATAAGTGATTAGAATAATATTACTATCTTACAAGTGATTACTATCTTATTAGTGATTCAATTTAATCAATGCATTTAACATAGTTTGAATATTGTGAGGCATGTAGACCTTAATAAATGTTTGTCATTGTTTTTGACTAGACCAGAGACAACTGCTGAGTTGTCTAAAATCAGACTCTTCCTAGATTTCTTGACCATATCGAGGTCTTTATACAATAGTTTTCTATACAGAGAGCTGTTTGAAAGTTTTTCTTGCCTTAATTCCACTATGTTTCAATGGAGTCCAAGGGAAACAAAACAATGTATTGAACAGAAAATCAGCTGTTTAGCCCACTATCTAGTTATATGAATTTCACTGCTACTGATAGGTATATACCTCATTTAGGTAACTCAACACACTTATATTCTTACCTCCACTTAACTTTTATTTATTTATTTATTTATTTTTATTTTTATTTTTATTGAGACAGAGTCTCCCTCTGTGTCCCAGGCTGGAGTGCAGTGGCGTGATCTCGGCTCACTGCAACCTCTGCCTCCCGGGTTCAAGCAATTCTCGTGCCTCGGCCTCCCGAATAGCTGGGACTACAGGTGCGTGCCACCATACCTGGCTAATTTTTTTTGTATATTTAATAGAGACAGAGTTTCACCCTGTTGGCCTGGCTGTTCTCGAACCCCTGACCTCACATGATCCGCCTGCTTCGGCCTCCCAAATTGTTGGGATTACAGGTGTGAACCACTGTGCCCAGTCCTCCACTTATTTTTTAAAACAGAAGTGGTAAAATTCAAGCCATTTCAATAGAAAAACCAAATGTGCATGGTTGATATTCTCTGTTTCCCAAATTTATATTTGATAACTTGTTTAATTTTCAAAACAGCCTTAAGCAATAGGTATTTTAATCCCTACTCTATAAATGAGTAAACTGATTTTCAGAGAAGTTAAATAATATTGCAAAGATTAAAAATGAATAGATTATGAAGCTTGAGTTTAAACAAGAATTACAATCCTATGTTTTATCTATTAAAATATACTGATTTTAATATTCTGCTAGATTAGATTTTTTATTTTTTGAGAGGGAAAAAGTTTATACCCTGTATTTATAGTACTGTAAGAATTTTTGTTATTGTTTATCATCTTCTTAGAACCATTTTCAGTTTTTATTTTTCATATTTAACTCCATAAAATTATGCTTAAATTACCCACTAGATTTTTTTCTCCCTCATATAGATCTGAATTGATATTAAGAAAAGTAAAACATTCTTTTTATGTTCAAATATTTTGGTATCTTTGAATATTCCCCTTGAGGGGTTCTCTTTCTCTGTACCTCATAAATCATCTAATCGCTATCCGATTTTGTCATGCTAAGTAGTTATAGATACACCACTAAGTGACTGTGATTTATAGTTCTGCTAGGTAATCTCTGATGGCAAATTTGCTTTAATGTCTTCTTTCATAGGACTAAGCACCTTTTATTAGTGATGTCTAAAAGTTTTAAAAAATTGAATAATACATTTTTAAAAATCATAGCATCTAATCAGAACTTTTTTGGTGTATTCCATTAGACTGCGTGTGTGTGTGTGTTATTTCTGACCTCTGACAAATATGCTAAATAAGTTTCCATTCATTGACTTTAAAAATATATTACAAAACTGAGCCCAATGGCTCACACCTGTAATCCCAGCCATTTGGGAGGCTGAGGCAAGAGGAATACTTGAGCCCAGGAGTTTAAGACCAGCCTAGGCAACAAAACAAGACCCTGTCTCTACAAATTAATAATAATAATAATAATAAAAGTTCCCAATCATGGTGGTGCTCACCTATAGTCCTAGCTACTTGCCAGGCTGAGGGAGAAGGATTGCTTGAGCCCAGGAGTTAAAGGTTGTAATGAGCTATGATCATGCCACTGCACTTAAGGCCTGGGTAACAGAGCAAGACTCTTTCTTAAAAAAAAAAAAAAAAAAAGTGAAAGTATATAATACAATAATTCCTAGGTAAGCCAGAAAAACAAAGGATTTCTACACTGTCTTTTCAACTCTGATTGAGTTTTGTTAAGTTTTCTAAAAATTTGTTTTAGTGAGGTGTTCATATTGTTCTTTTACATTTTAATTAAAATAATTGACTATTATAAAGATATATCAAAATGTTTTAGAGGAAACAAGAAGTACACCATCCTGGCAAACTAATTATTTTAATGAGCTATTTAAGAGTATTATTTTCTCATGTTTAATGCTTTTCAATATGGTGATGTGTATAATAACTTGGACTGCTGGAATCCATGCCTTAGAACAAAATTTGACTTTGTAGTATAAAGTATAAGAGCAATGTATCCCCTAAAAGATATCACAAAGTCTTGAAAAAAATTATTGACAGTCTATGTGATTACGTACTTTTTGCAAACTTTATTCTCGTATTTCAGGGATACTGTTTGATGAAGTGTCATCTTTGGGGAAATGTCTTGATTTCACGTAAAAACAGCTTCTACACACCACATTCCATCTGTCTCATATTTAGCCTCTCTTATATTTGAGTCTATATTGTGCTTTAGCCCTGTCTCTTTACACTAATACCTACCAGTCAACGAGAGCTTCCCTAGAAACAATACCAAGATAGGGATTTGAGGGCCCATGGTTTATTGAGTGTGCTCTTCACAAAATGCTGTAAAGAAGGCGTAAAGGAAGAAGGAAAATAGGCTCTGAGCGAGAATGGGGTTTCAGAAAAATTCTAGCATTGATCTGGTCTACAGGGGGGAGGTTCTAGACCTTAGTCCAGAGTTGTTCCCCTTACTCTTTCCGGACATCTGTCAGTCCCACTTCTATTATAGTATGGTGTGAATAATCCCAATCTCTGTTACGTGTGTTTATGATTACATTTGTAAATATATTGTTAAAATTGAATGTATTTTTGTGTACATGTTTTCTTGAGATTTTGTTTTAATGTCTTTCTTAACATGCCTTAAGGACATTGTCAGTATATATATAATATTATATATTATATAATATAAGAAGAATGAAGTAGACCTACATATATTTTAGGTCTATTTATAATATATTATATATATAAATCAAATATATAACATATATAGAATTTTATATATTATATGTTATTTTCATATGTTATTTTTGTATGAATTTTAATGCTACTGATAGGCATATACCTCACTTAGGTAACCCAACACACTTGGAGAAGTTATAGCCATAATATAACATAACTATGCCTTGGAATATACAACCATTAAGAAGAATGAAATAAACGATTGATGAACAAAAATTATTTACAAATTTTTTTGTAAAAAATTTACAAATTTACAAATGTAAGTACAAAATCTGAAACAATGAATAGTATTTTATCTTTATTTTGTGAATCTTTCTATAGAGATGTAATAAAGTGGTAATAGAAAGATGAGAATAGACTGCATGGATCAAAAGGTAATCAAATTTTGTTTTATTTTTATTGCTTATTTTTTCAAAATTACCATTTTGAAATTTATTAATTATTTTCTAATAAGGTAGAAATAATGCCAAAAATGTTAACTGATCAAACTACAATAAAAATCTAACATAATAATAAAATAAAAACAAACAGAAAACCCTCCATAGAAAAATTTTGAAATATTTATTAAACATGTCTAGCAATAAAGGGGGATATAAAGTGAAATTAAGAAAGTTCTAAAAATAATGACAATGGAAAGCTACAAATCAGGATGTGTCAGGTACAATTAAAGCAGAGCACAATAAAAAATAGCATCAAACCATGATATGAAAAAATAAACGAATAAAGAAGAATAAAGGTACAAATTTTAAGTTAGAAAATCAAGAAAAAAACAAAAGAAATTGGAAGTTAGAAATTAATAAAAACATAGGCATATATTAATTAGAAATAAGAAAAACGAACCAATAATTCAATAGAAATCATTTAAAATCATCAAATAGACAAACAAGGAAAATGTATCAAGAAAAAAGGGAAAAAGCGCAAATATATAAAATATGAAATAAGGAAAATAACCATCGGAACAAAGAATTTTAAAAATTTATCAAAACTATTTGCATAATCCATACATATAAATTTAAAAACATGATGTAATCGATAATTTCCTAGGAAAAATATAATTTTTCAAAATCAACTACTAAAAGAAACCAAATGTAGTTAGAAAATTTTCATACAAGAAATACAGAATTATCAAATTATCAATAAACACCAGGAACAAGAAGTTAAACATGGGGAATTCTATCAAAACTTCATTTTTATCAAAATTATCACTGAAATGATAATATTGTGTTAATTTGCATTTAAAACTGTAAATTAAGTTTATTGCCTTTTCACTTATTTATGGTTCATGTCATTTGACAATTTTATTTGTATAGATATTGTTTGTCTGCTGCAGATGCTGCAGATATTTCATTCCTGTCTGTTACGTGCTTTTTATTTATTTATTTTATTATTATTATTATTATTTATTTATTATACTTTAAGTTTTAGGGTACATGTGCACATTGTGCAGGTTAGTTACATATGTATACATGTGCCATGCTGGTGTGCTGCACCCACTAACTCGTCATCTAGCATTAGGTATATCTCCCCATGCTATCCCTCCCCCCTCCCCCCACCCCACAACAGTCCCCAGAGTGTGATATTCCCCTTCCTGTGTCCATGTGATCTCACTGATCAATTCCCACCTATGAGTGAGAATATGCGGTGTTTGGTTTTTTGTTCTTGCGATAGTTTACTGAGAATGATGATTTGCAATTTCATCCATGTCCCTACAAAGGACATGAACTCATCATTTTTTATGCCTGCATAGTATTCCATGGTGTATATGTGCCACACTTTCTTAATCCAGTCTATCATTGTTGGACATTTGGGTTGGTTCCAAGTCTTTGCTATTGTGAATAATGCCGCATTAAACATAGGTGTGCATGTGTCTTCATAGCAGCATGATTTATAGTCCTTTGGGTATAGACCCAGTAATGGGATGGCTGGGTCAAATGGTATTTCCAGTTCTAGATCCCTGAGGAATCACCACACTGACTTCCACAATGGTTGAACTAGTTTACAGTCCCACCAACAGTGTAAAAGTGTTCCTATTTCTCCACATCCTCTCCAGCACCTGTTGTTTCCTGACTTTTTAATGATTGCCATTCTAACTGGTGTGAGATGGCATCTCATTGTGGTTTTGATTTCCATTTCTCTGATAGCCAGTGATGATGAGCATTTTTTCATGTGTTTTTTGGCTGCATAAATGTCTTCTTTTGAGAAGTGTCTGTTCATGTCCTTTGCCCACTTTTTGATGGGGTTGTTTGTTTTTTTCTTGTAAATTTGTTTGAGTTTATTGTAGATTCTGGATATTAGCCCTTTGTCAGATGAGTAGGTTGCGAAACTTTTCTCCCATTTTGTAGGTTGCCTGTTCACTCTGATGGTAGTTTCTTTTGCTGTGCAGAAGCTCTTTAGTTTAATTAGATCCCATTTGTCAATTTTGGCTTTTGTTGCCATTGCCTTTGGTGTTTTAGACACGAAGTCCTTGCACATGCCTATGTCCTGAATGGTGATGCCTATGTTTTCTTCTAGGGTTTTTATGGTTTTAGGTCTAAAGTTTAAGTCTTTAATCCATCTTGAATGATTTTTGTATAAGGTGTAAGGAAGGGATCCAGTTTCAGCTTTCTACATATGGCTAGCCAGTTTTCCCAGCACCATTTATTAAATAGGGAATCCTTTCCCCATTGCTTGTTTTTCTCAGGTTTGTCAAAGATCAGATAGTTGTAGATATGCGGCATTATTTCTGAGGGCTCTGTTCTGTTCCATTGATCTATATCTCTGTTTTGGTACCAGTACCATGCTGTTTTGGTTACTGTAGCCTTGTAGTATAGTTTGAAGTCAGGTAGTGTGATGCCTCCAGCTTTGTTCTTTTGGCTTAGGATTGACTTGGCGATGCGGGCTCTTTCTTGGTTCCATATGAACTTTAAAGTAGTTTTTTCCAATTCTGTGAAGAAAGTCATTGGTAGCTTGATGGGGATGGCATTGAATCTGTAAATTACCTTGGGCAGTATGGCCATTTTCATGATATTGATTCTTCCTACCCATGAGCATGGAATGTTCTTCCATTTGTTTGTATCCTCTTTTATTTCCTTGAGCAGTGGTTTGTAGTTCTCCTTGAAGAGGTCCTTCACATCCCTTGTAAGTTGGATTCCTAGGTATTTTATTCTCTTTGAAGCAATTGTGAATGGGAGTTCACTAATGATTTGGCTCTCTGTTTGTCTGTTATTGGTGTATAAGAATGCCTGTGATTTTTGTACATTGATTTTGTATCCTGAGACTTTGCTGAAGTTGCTCATTAGCTTAAGGAGATTTTGGGCTGAGACAATGGGGTTTTCTAGATATACAATCATGTCGTCTGCAAACAGGGACAATTTGACTTCCTCTTTTCCTAATTGAATACCCTTTATTTCCTTCTCCTGCCTAATTGCCCTGGCCAGAACTTCCAACACTATGTTGAATAGGAGTGGTGAGAGAGGGCATCCCTGTCTTGTGCCAGTTTTCAAAGAGAATGCTTCCAGTTTTTTCCCATTCAGTATGATATTGGCTGTGGGTTTGTCATAGATAGCTCTTATTATTTTGAGATACATCCCATCAATACCTAATTTATTGAGAGTTTTTAGCATGAAGGTTGTTGAATTTTGTCAAAGGCTTTTTCTGCATCTATTGAGATAATCATGTGGTTTTTGTCTTTGGCTCTGTTTATATGCTGGATTACATGTATTGATTTGCGTATATTGAACCAGCCTTGCATCCCAGGGATGAAGCCCACTTGATCATGGTGGATAAGCTTTTTGATGTGCTGCTGGATTCAGTTTGCCAGTATTTTATTGAGGATTTTTGCATCAATGTTCATCAAGGATATTGGTCTAAAATTCTCTTTTTTGGTTGTGTCTCTGCCTGGCTTTGGTATCAGAATGATGCTGGCCTCATAAAATGAGTTAGGGAGGATTCCCTCTTATTCTATTGATTGGAATAGTTTCAGAAGGAATGGTACCAGTTCCTCCTTGTACCTCTGGTAGAATTCGGCTGTGAATCCATCTGGTCCTGGACTCTTCTTGGTTGGTAAGCTATTGATTATTGCCACAATTTCAGAGCCTGTTATTGGTCTATTCAGAGATTCCACTTCTTCCTGGTTTAGTCTTGGGAGAGTGTATGTGTCAAGGAATTTATCCATTTCTTCTAGATTTTCTAGTTTATTTGTGTAGAGGTGTTTGTAGTATTCTCTGATGGTAGTTTGTATTTCTGTGGGATCGGTGGTGATATCCCCTTTATCATTTTTTATTGCATCTATTTGATTCTTCTCTCTTTTTTTCTTTATTCGTCTTGCTAGCGGTCTATCAATTTTGTTGATCCTTTCAAAAAACCAGCTCCTGGATTCATTAATTTTTTGAAGGGTTTTTTGTGTCTCTATTTCCTTCAGTTCTGCTCTGATTTTAGTTATTTCTTGCCTTCTGCTAGCCTTTGAATGTGTTTGCTCTTGCTTTTCTAGTTCTTTTAATTGTGATGTTAGGGTGTCAATTTTGGATCTTTCCTGCTTTCTCTTGTGGGCATTTAGTGCTATAAATTTCCCTCTACACACTGCTTTGAATGTGTCCCAGAGATTCTGGTATGTTGTGTCTTTGTTCTCGTTGGTTTCAAAGAACATCTTTGTTTCTGCCTTCATTTTGTTATGTACCCAGTAGTCATTCAGGAGCAGGTTGTTCAGTTTCCATGTAGTTGAGCGGTTTTGAGTGAGATTCTTAATCCTGAGTTCTAGTTTGATTGCACTGTGGTCTGAGAGACAGTTTGTTGTAATTTCTGTTCTTTTACATTTGCTGAGGAGAGCTTTACTTCCCAGTATGTGGTCAATTTTGGAATAGGTGTGGTGTGGTGCTGAAAAAAATGTATATTCTGTTGATTTGGGGTGGAGAGTTCTGTAGATGTCTATTAGTTCCGCTTGGTCCAGAGCTGAGTTCAATTCCTGGGTATCCTTGTTGACTTTCTGTCTCATTGATCTGTCTAATATTGACAGTGGGGTGTTAAAGTCTCCCATTATTAATGTGTGGGAGTCTAAGTCTCTTTGTAGGTCACTCAGGACTTGCTTTATGAATCTTGGTGCTCCTGTATTGGGTGCATATATATTTAGGATAGTTAGCTCTTCTTGCTGAATTGATCCCTTTACCATTATGTAATGGCCTTCTTTGTCTCTTTTGATCTTTGTTGGTTTAAAGTCTGTTTTATCAGAGACTAGGATTGCAACCCCTGCCTTTTTTTGTTTTCCATTGGCTTGGTAGATCTCCCTCCATCCTTTTATTTTGAGCCTATGTGTGTCTCTGCACGTGAGATGGGTTTCCTGAATACGCACACTGATGGGTCTTGACTCTTTATCCAATTTGCCAGTCTGTGTCTTTTAATTGGAGCATTTAGTCCATTTACATTTAAAGTTAATATTGTTATGTGTGAATTTGATCCTGTCATTATGATGTTAGCTGGTTATTTTGCTCGTTAGTTGATGCAGTTTCTTCCTAGTCTCGATGGTCTTTACATTTTGGCATGATTTTGCAGCGGCTGGTACCGGTTGTTCCTTTCCATGTTTAGTGCTTCCTTCAGGAGCTCTTGTAAGGCAGGCCTTGTGGTGACAAAATCTCTCAGCATTTGCTTGTCTGTAAAGTATTTTATTTCTCCTTCACTTATGAAGCTTAGTTTGGCTGGATATGAAATTCTGGGTTGAAAATTCTTTTCTTTAAGAATGTTGAATATTGGCCCCCACTCTCTTCTGGCTTGTAGGGTTTCTGCCAAGAGATCCGCTGTTAGTCTGATGGGCTTCCCTTTGAGGGTAACCCGACCTTTCTCTCTGGCTGCCCTTAACATTTTTTCCTTCATTTCAACTTTGGTGAATCTGACAATTATGTGTCTTGGAGTTGCTCTTCTCGAGGAGTATCTTTGTGGCGTTCTCTGTATTTCCTGAATCTGAACGTTGGCCTGCCTTGCTAGATTGGGGAAGTTCTCCTGGATAATATCCTGCAGAGTGTTTTCCAACTTGGTTCCATTCTCCCCATCACTTTCAGGTACACCAATCAGACGTAGATTTGGTCTTTTCACATAGTCCCGTATTTCTTGGAGGCTTTGCTCATTTCTTTTTATTCTTTTTTCTCTAAACTTCCCTTCTCGCTTCATTTCATTCATTTCATCTTCCATTGCTGATACCCTTTCTTCCAGTTGATTGCATCAGCTCCTGAGGCTTCTGCATTCTTCACGTAGTTCTCGAGCCTTGGTTTTCAGCTCATCAGCTCCTTTAAGCACTTCTCTGTATTGGTTATTCTAGTTATACATTCTTCTAAATTTTTTTTAAAGTTTTCAACTTTTTGCCTTTGGTTTGAATGTCCTCCCATAGCTCAGAGTAATTTGATCGTCTGAAGCCTTCTTCTCTCAGCTCGTCAAAGTCATTCTCCATCCAGCTTTGTTCCCTTGCTGGTGAGGAGCTGCGTTCCTTTGGAGGAGGAGAGGCGCTCTGCTTTTTAGAGTTTCCAGTTTTTCTGTTCTGTTTTTTCCCCATCTTTGTGGTTTTATCTACTTTTGGTCTTTGATGATGGTGATGTACAGATGGGTTTTTGGTGTGGATGTCCTTTCTGTTTGTTAGTTTTCCTTCTAACAGAGAGGACCCTCAGCTGCAGGTCTGTTGGAGTACCCTGCCCTGTGAGGTGTCAGTGTGCCCCTGCTGGGGGGTGCCTCCCAGTTAGGCTACTTGGGGGTCAGGGGTCAGGGACCCACTTGAGGAGGCAGTCTGCCCGTTCTCAGATCTCCAGCTGCATGCTGGGAGAACCACTGCTCTCTTCAAAGCTGTCTGACAGGGACATTTAAGTCTGCAGAGGTTACTGCTGTCTTTTTGTTTGTCTGTGCCCTGCCCCCAGAGGTGGAGCCTACAGAGGCAGGCAGGCCTCCTTGAGCTGTGTTGGGCTCCACCCAGTTCGAGCTTCCTGGCTGCTTTGTTTACCTAATCAAGCCTGGGCAATGGCGGGCGCCCCTCCCCCAGCCTCGCTGCCGCCTTGCAGTTTGATCTCAGACTGCTGTGCTAGCAATCAGCGAGACTCCGTGGGCGTAGGACCCTCCGAGCCAGGTGCGGGACGTAATCTCGTGGTGCGCCGTGTTTTAAGCCCGTCGGAAAAGCGCAGTATTCAGGTGGGAGTGACCCGATTTTCCAGGTGCCTTCCGTCACCCCTTTCTTTGACTCAGAAAGGGAACTCCCTGACCCCTTGTGCTTCCCAAGTGAGGCAATGCCTCGCCCTGCTTCGGCTCGTGCATGGTGCGCGCACCCACTGACCTGCGCCCACTGTCTGGCACTCCCTAGTGAGATGAACTCGGTACCTCAGAGGGAAATGCAGAAATCACCGGTCTTCTGCGTCGCTCACGCTGGGAGCTGTAGACGGGTGCTGTTCCTATGGGGCCATCTTGGCTCCTCCTCCTGTTATGTGCTTTTTAACATTGTTTATGGCTATTTTTAAACAGAAGTGTTCAATAGTAATCAACCCTGCAGTCTTTTTCTTTCTGGTTTTAGGTTTTTGTTCTTGCCTAGGAAGACCTTCTTCACCACAAATGGTAAAATAAATTCCCTATATTTTCTTGCCATTCAAGAGTATTTTAAATAATTGGTTCTGAAATTCATGTAAGATACAGTATTATGCATTTTGTGATATAAGGATCTAATCTTGTTCCTTTCCTTGTATATAATCAATTGCCCCAATAGTATAATTAATATTTTAATACTAATTTGATATCATATCTTTAGCATGATTATATATGGCATCTGCATATCTTCTCTGATCTGTCTGTGGATTCTATTTTGTTTACTTATTTTTCATCTTCTCTACTCACTGATTAATATTGTATTTCACACCTTTGTAGTATTCTTCAGTAATTTTTCTTACTCCTATGAAATAAATACATGCATAAAAGATAAAAATGAGATAGTAGAAATTGCAGTAGAATTATAAGGAAATGGAATTGTTCATGGCGCTATTATAATACACTCAACTGCCAGTTTCAGAAATAGATACCACTTTTTATTTTATTTTATTGTTTCTTAGGGTATATTTTTAAATGAAACAAAGAAACCTCAATGTATTGATATATCCACTTTAAGCAGTATTTTTATTTTTAGTTTTATTTCCTGACTATTTACTTTGCTTGGATTCTCCATACCTCCTCCTCCTCATCTCAATATATTCACCTTGCCATTTTTAGTTTCTTTTTTGGTTACTTGGCACTTCAAAGAATAGTTATTTCTGTATTTTTGTTCCATTCACTATAGACATTATTTCAAATCCTGACTGAAAGATGAGGATATTAGAAATTCTAAAACTCATCCTCTTTTATCCTCCACCTTCTTTCAGTTCTTAACTGACTTTTTACTTTCACTGTATAGGCTGATTCTAAGTCAAATACTAATAAGCATTATTTTGACTACATAGATACTGCTTGCTACAGAGCAAAAATAGAGTAGGTAATAGTGTTATACCCTTCTTTCTTGTGTTGATTTTCAAAGTGTTTTGGCTATTTTTTTTCTTTCACAATACCTTTTTTAAAAAATCAAAACCCATTAATTCTTCTAATATTTTCAGACTGATATCAGATCTGTGAAATCTCTCTTTTCCTTGATAACACTTCTGTGAATCTTCTACCTCCTGTTCCCATCTGGACCCAGTGAGTTCTAGACCTGCTCTTTATACCAGGATTTCTCCTTATTCCATTTGAGCAGATTCTCTTTTTCCTAAGTCTCATGTATTTCACTTTCTTGTTTATTCTTTTATTACTACCTCAATTCATCTGGTAGGAAATTCCTTGTAGGTCTTATATATTCATATTTTGTTTTCATAATTTATTTTACACTAAATTCTATATTCCTTTGGTGCTTTTAAAAAATGTAATGCCATTGTGATTCTAAGCCTTTGTAAGTAAGCAGCTTCCTTTTCCCCTTTTTCTCTTTCCATCTTTTGGAAAGCTTCATCTGTTGGTTTGTTGGTTTCCAGGCTTTTGAAATTTCATGGTAACACATCTTAGTGTGAGTCTATTTTGTTTAATTTGCTTAATATTTAATGATATTTTTCATTTTATAAATTTATATGTTTCCTTTAATAACAATTATACAAGTAATATTTGCATAGCCAGCAGCTATTCAAAGTGCTTTGTATATCTAAACTTATGTAATTCTCAGAGCAACCTAAGGAAAGTATTTCAATTATCTCTGTTTTAAAGATAAGAAAATTTAGGAACACAGAGATTGAGTAATTTGCTGGAGGTTGTACAATTACTTATTGGTAGATGGAACTTAACCCAGGAAATCTGTTTTTAGATTCTCTGCACGTAAGCAGTAAACATGGCCTTTGTCCAAATAAAATATCTTATATTCTTTATTTGATAATTACTTCTTTATTCCATCAGCTTTCTCTTCCTGGAACTCCTGTTATTCAGATTTGGGACCTCTTGGGAATAAATTGTAATTCTGTAATATTTTTCTCCTATTCGCTATCACTTTTAGCTCTATGCTTAGAAAAACTTCTTTATGATCCATGTATTGAAATATTTTATTGCCAAAATGTTTCTTTTCTTCTTTTAATGAAATCAGATTACATCTAGTCAAATGCATAGACCTTGACTGCACAGTTTACTGAGTTTTTAATTCCCTCATAAGGAAATCCACATATGGAATATTGTAATTGCTCTCAAATGTTTCCTTGTACATTTTTCTAGTCAATCTGCCTGTTATTCCACATGTAACTGGTGTCCTGATTGCTAATTCCACAGAGTACTAGTAACTATTCTTGAATTTCATGAAAAGGGAGCCATAAAATATATATATTTTGTAGCTGGCTTTTTCATTATCATAATACTTTTTGTTATTCATCTATATAATTACCACTATTTGCTCATGTTTATTACTGAATAGTAATTTACTTCATGAATATACCATCATTTGTAAATACATTATTCTATTGATGAACATTTTGGAGTAGTTTTCAGTTTTAGGTTATTTTTAATAATGCTACTATGTATATTTGTATGCAAGTCTTTGTATGGACATATGCTTTAATTTTTCTTGGGTAAATAGTGAGGAGCAGAAAATTTAGGTCATATGGTGGGTGTATGCTTAACTTTAAAAATATTTGTTTAATTGACAAATTAAAATTGTATATATTTCTGTTGTTTAACATGATGTTTTAAATTATGTATACATTGTGGAATGACTAAATAGAGCCAATTAGCATATGCATTAACTTTTTAAGAAACATTCAAATTCTTATTCAGAATGTTTTTACCATTTACATTCTGTCTAGCAGTGTATCAGCATTCCAGTTGTTCCAAATTTTCACCAACACCAGGTGTGATCAGTCTTTTGAAATTTTAGACATTCTAATAGGTATATAGTTGTATTATATTATGGTTTCAATCTACATTTCCCTATTAACTAATGGTAAGCATTTTTAAGGTGCTTACTTGACATTTATATATCTTCTTTGATGTAGAAACTGTGAAATCTTTTGCTCATTTTCTTCAAATTGGTTTGCGTGTTTGTTTTATTGAGTTTTGGTTGTTTGTTATATCTGGATCTAATTTCTTTATTAGTTATACTATTTATAATATTTGATATTTTCCCCCAACATATGGCTTGTCTTTTTGTTTTCTTAAGAGCAAAAGTTTCTACTTTTGATAAAGTCTTAGGTATTTTATGGAGCATGGTTCTAGTGTCATATCCAGTAAGCACTGGCCTTAACCTAGGTTAAACATAATTTCTATTCTGTTTTCTTCTTAAAATATTTATAATTTTAGATTTTACACTTATGTTTATGACTCATTTTAAGTAACTTTTAAAATATGGAATAAAATATGGATCAAAGTGAATTTTTGTGTTTGTTTTGCATAGGATTTTTAATGGTTACAGAAATATTAGTTAAAAATGATCTTTTCCCCACTGTAATACCTTTACAATTTTGTCAAATATCCATTTGCTATATAGGTGTGGATCTATTTCTGGACACTCCAATCTGCTCTAGTGATCTATTCATTTATCATTATACTAAACTTCCACTGCCTTGATTATTATAATTTTATAATATATTTTGAAATCAGGTAGTATAAATCCTCTTAGTTTTTTTTTTAATTAAAGTCGCTTTGGCTATTCTAGGCCATTTTGATTTCTTTACAAATTTTAAAATTAGTTTTCAATTTCTTCAAAACTCTGTTGCAATATCATCTTAAAGCCTTTGAAACTTCAGATCATAAACGCAGTATGCCTTTCCAGGTATTTGAGTCTTTACATTTTTTTTCTCAACACTGTTTACTTTTTAGTGTATTTGTCTTGCACATATTTTTGAATTTATTTTAGAAATTTTCTATCTTATGCTACAATAAATGGTGTTATATATTTAATTTATATTTTAAATTGTCCTTTACTAGAGATGAAATTGATGTTTCTACATTTATCTTGTATCTTGTAATGTTAACTCTCTCCACTTAACAGTAGGATAATCAACAAAGTAGTTTTTGTGTAGATACCTACAGTTCTGCAGTCATTTCAAACAGTCAAACAGTCATTTCATCTGCAAGCAGAGTTTTACTTCTTTCATTGTATGTTATATAGTGCTGCTAAGAAAGTATTTCAAAATGTGGTGGTTTAAAACAACAATGGTTTATCATTGCTTATAATTTGGGTGTTGGTGAGGTGGGTTTTCTACCATTTTTGCTTAAGCTTATTCATGTGGCTGCATAAAAATTGCCTATGAGTTCTCCAATTTCTACAGACAGGAAACAGGCTAAAAAATTTACTTAGGTAAAAATATGATGCATTCCTTATGGAAAAGGAAAGAAACCTAAGACTTCTTGATGAGCGGAGTTACAAAATAATATTTCCATATTTAATCTACTGGAATATTAATATATCACTTTTTACTACATGTTACATGATTTTACTTATGAATTTGTTAAATAAATTTTGCTGTGTATTTTTTAAGGATTTTGTCTATTTAATCAAATGTGTTGGCAAAAAAGTTGCTTATAATATTCACGTAATAGTCATTGTGTGTCTGCAGAATCTGTGGAGGCCCTCCATCTTTTTGTTGACATTAGTCATTTATCCCTCCTTTCCACTTGATCAGTCTTGCAAGGAGGTTATTATTTTTATTAGTCTTTCGAAGAATCATCTTTTGTCCTTGTTGATTTTCCATGCTGTATGCCTGTTTTCTATTGTAATGATTTGTGCTATTTACTTATTTATTCTTTGTACTTATTTTTGCTTTATTGTGTTCTTTTATCATTGTTTTTTAAAAAGACATGTTAGATTATTTTTAATAAAAGCATTACAAACTATAACTTTACTATTTAGCATTTGTTTAGGATATTTCACTTATTTTTGTACATTATCTTTGAAATATCATTACTTAAAAATATGTTCTTTTTAAATGTTTTCTTCTGTAACTCATAATTTAGAATTGTATTATTTAATCTTTAAATATTTGAGAATTTCTAGATATATTTTTTTCAGCATTTCTAATTCAATTTATTTATTTTTTTTTTTGAAGCCAGAAAACATACTCTGTGTGTTTTAATTCCTTGGACTTGATTGAGACTTGTTTCATGATTCAGCATATGGTCTGCCTTGGTAAGTGTTCCATATGCACTTGAAAAGAAAGTACTTGTTACCGTACTTGAAAATAATGTTCAATAAATTAAGTCATGATATTTGGAAGTGTTCAAATAATGTTCATCATTATATTTTTCCCTATTACTTACTATTGAGAAGGGAGTATTAAAGTCTTGAAGTATGATGGTAGATTTGTCTATTTTTTTCATAAGTTTGTTAGTTGATAAAAGTGATTTGACTACACAGTGTGTTTAAATACACAGAATTTGGAATTGTTATTTACTTCTTTGGGAAAGACTGCTGTATGGTATTGTCTGACAGTGGTTTCAAGGAAAAAAAGTAATTGAAATTGAGAAGTTTGAGGGACTGGACTTTTAGAAAAATTGTCAAAGTGAATGTATTATCCCTGTGATTGGACTCAAATAGATCTAGTAGAAATCTTTTTTCATTAACTATCCTTGTGAAAATTTCTTTAGTTCTTGTATAGTCAGATAAAAGTGTATAGTTCAAATTGTTGATATATTCCTTGAATTTCCTTTTATATTATCTTCTATTTGACCTTACCTAAGTCTCTTAAGTGCCTTAAAGTGAAGTGCTTGATTATTTCTTTTCATTTCTACCTGGTGCCAATAGTTCTCTGATCTGAACAAACTATGAGCTTATAAATCACAAAATATCTGCATTGAAAGGAACATCAGAGATATTATAATCTGACTGGAATTTAATCATGAGAATTCCTACTACAAAATCCCTTCAATGAAATGTCCAGCTTTTGCTAATACACTTCCAGTGACAAGGATGCAATCTGCCTTGAGACGGCCAATTCTTCAATTGATCTACTATTAAATACTCAACATTGACTTAAAATTTGCCTTAATTACTTTTAAAATTAATCAGAATGCAGGTCTGTAATTTTTAGAAAATGTCATATATTTAAAAATTTCAATTTACAAAAGAAAAAGTCATGAGGATAATAATTTGCAGTGTGATAGTGCATAGTTTAGAATGTCTATGCACACAAGTATATGCAGATATGCACACACTAACAAGTCTATGCATTAGACTCCTGTTTCCAGTGCAGTTGGACAGGATTTATCTAAGGATAGGGCAGGATATTGTAAAGATTCAAATAAAGTTCAACCAAAACTTGGTTAAGCAAAAATCAAGGAATAAATGTTTGTGTAAATGAGTGGGTTTTTAAAATTGGTTTATTTCACTGAAAAGCTTGTTGATAAATCTCACAAATGTCCCAGTTTTAGTCCTTGTACAAAGACTACAAATATGGGAAAATTTTTCCAGAGAAACATCATGTTAATATTTGTTCTACTGTCAGAAATGATGAGAATAGACCAGAAAAAACAGTAAGTGTCCACAAAAGTGGACAAGAGTTTGTAACAATGAATGGAAGGGAAATTACAATGAAAGGGAACAGTGAAATCAATCAATGGCCTATTTTGTTCTCAGTTGGTTCCCAAGGGACTTGATATAGCAGCAGAAATGTGGCATCAGTAGTAGTCTTGTTCTTAAATTACATTATTAAATTGGTGACCAGAGTTTCAGACATAAATAAAATAATAAATTCAGGTGACACAGCTCAACTTGTGTTTTCTAGGAGATAGGTACCATTTCATAACTGTTATTATGCAACAATGACATATACATTCTGCATCTGTAAAAATGCTATTTCCTTGACATACGTTTATTATGCAATACAATATAATATGTAATTTAGTTCACCATTTATATAAAGCCTGATGCTCCAAGTATCATAGTTGGTGAGTTAACTGTCATTGATTATATAATGGTGTTAAAACAATTTTAGTGAACAGCTTTTATCTATTATAATCATTTATATTACCTTTTTCCCTCTCAAAAATACTGATTCCATTAAACTAACACTAAGATCCACTGGTTCAAGATTAAATATTTAATATTAGTTTGTTTATATTGTTCCACAGACATTCCTGTTTTTTCTCAAAATAGGTCATCTTACTTCATAATAATCTTATTTAAATAGCAGACTTTTTTGCACTATCGTGAAGTGGAAGTCTCTAAGCATTTCTCATGGTTCCTTGGTGGAATGGTCACTTAATGATCAAATTAGAGCTCACTCAACCAGATCTGTGGTAACAACAGTTAGTAGGCTGCAGTCAGTTCTCCTGCTCAGATTTACAGAGCATCCAGGTGGAGTTCATTACTGTGAATCACCCAGCATGGTCCCCTGGCAGCAGATTACGAAAACAGTTTAAATTAGACATGGCTGCACTGCGAAACCTATTCCTCGTTCAAAATGTAAGGACCCCCTACGCTTAGCCACATATGTCTTATCTGTAGCTGCCTTCTATCCAGGGAGGTCTCTATTACTATTTGCTGCTGTATTTGTACAATACCTAAAATATTTATAAATCTGAATGCTAAAAAATTACAGATTTGCAGCTAATACATTCCACAGCTGCATGTTTTTGGTTTGCAAATTTATAACTGGGAATTTACTACTACTAACAAATTCCAGCTTTTGAACAATTGGATATATTTCTCCAACTTGGTATATTGCCCAGTATCTGTTATTCTCACTCCCCAGGCTGGGATGGCTGCAATGGTGGTAGACCCTCTGGGGAGGGAGGAGGGATAGATGGATGAAACTATTTGCCATCAGTCACCAACAGCCCCTCTGGCGGATTAAGTAGCAGGTGTTAATAGGAACCCAAGGGAGTGCTCTCCAGTTCCCTTTAGCTAGAATGATAAGTGACATGATTCAAGGCCTGAAGGGTTTGGGGACCTTTGAGGGAGGGGGAAGGGAAGTGGACTTGTAAAGCAGGAAATATTAGCGTGGTATGTTGTTTTGAAAGGCTTCTCCTAATGTTAAGATGATTTGCAGTTTTGAAGACTTAAATAATGAAAATTCTGATACAGATGTTCCAGGCATTAAAGAAGGAATGAGGAAATATTATAACCTTTAAAAGCACTGCTCATACTCTATAATTTTGTTCTCATTGAAGCTTTACTGAAAACACTATTGTAAGATTTAATTATTGTTTTTAACAGTCATTTATTATATAGATAGGCAAGAAAGTATACATCATGAAAATAATGTGGAAAGATGCCATAGACTTTTCAAAATAGCAAAACATATGTTCATACAGAAAATGCACAAAGAATCAATAGATGTGATTGATATTCTGAGTCAGTGATAATTATTAAACTATAATAAACCTCAAATTTTGTTTTCTCTATAAAATTCATTTGTTTCTTTCCTTTGTCTCAGAGGAGGTTTTTAATACCAAAGTTTTAAATTTGACATATATGGTATTAAAATATGTTAAGAACTTTATTGATGTTTAACAGAAAGATGTGCATATTATAAACATGTAACAAAATTAATTTATACAAAATGAATATGCCCATGTAACCACCAGATAAGACATTATCAGTACCCACAACACTGTCATTCTAACAGCATTGATTAATTTGATACTTGATATAAATGGAGCAATACATCATACATTCTTTTGTGTCTTGCTTATTTTACATAACATTTGTGAGAGTCATAAATATTGTGTGCAGTTATAGTTTTTAAAAAATTATTTACAATTATTATTTTGTACAGTATACTATAGTTTTGCATAGTATGTAATCGGATAACTATATCATTATTTCCACATTGTAAAATTAATTGCCATTGAGTCATTTCCAAATGGAAGATACTAAATATAATGTTGTTATGAGTATTCTAATGTATGTCTTTTGGTAAGGATAGGTACGTATTTCTATTTGGCATAAACCTAGGATTGGAATTGCTGAGTCATAGCATGTGCATATGTTAAACTTTAGTAGATGTTACCAAAGACTACTTTCCTACCAATGTCTAATATTTCTGGTTTCTCTGTATTCTTGCCAAAATTTATTTTCTGTCTCTTTAATTTTAGCAGTTCTGATGCGTGTATAGTGGCATCTTGTTGCATTTTTAATATGCATTTCCCCAATAATGAATGAAATTAATCACTTTTTCTTATATGTATTGGCCATCAGATATTCTCTTTTGAAAAATGTCTGTTCAAGTCTTTTGCTCATTTCTTATTGGGCTTTCTATCTTTTTGTTCTTGATGAATAAAAATTCTTGATATATTCTAGATAGAAGACCTTCTTGGATATGGGAATTGAGAGTATCTTCTCTCACTCTGAGGCTTGCATTTTCACATTCTAAATGATATAATTTGTATTAAGAATATATTCACTTGATATAGTTCATTTATTACTATTTTAATATGATTGGCACAATTGTGCTTTTGGTAATGTTACAGAAAATTAACATTTAATTCAGATGAACTACTATGAAATCTGGAAGATATAAGAAAAATGTAAGGTTTTGGAAAGTGACCAAAGTAAAAAACAATCTGGAAGACAGTCAGTCTATAAAAATTGAGAACTTCATTGGGTCAGATAAGCTGTGACAGTCTCTGGTCCACATAGCATGAAGCTGCTAAAGCTGAAGCAGAAATTCACATCTTACTAGCATTCATGTTAGGAGGCCGAGGATGGAATCCAGGGTTTCTAGAGTGCCTAGGAAGTGAGGAGAAAATCCCAGAAAGGGAGGAGACATAAATGAGGAAACCCAAATCTTCTTGTAAAGTCCACCTCAGCTCTTAGAGGCCTTTCAACTAAGTAGGCATAGTTGGGACTCCAAGAAGCCCCTCGGAAGGCAGCAACTGAAAGACTGAGGTAAGTGAATGAAGGTCTCAACACTTATACAACAGAAGGAAAAAAAGAAGTTTATAGTTTTAGTCCAGCCAGATTAAAACTCTTTAGTGAAAGATAATAGAAGCTAGAATTTCTACAAAGTATCTACCTGACAGAAAAAAATGAGGAGTCATGAGAAGTAGCAAAATTTAGCCCATAGTCAAGAAAAGACAAAGCAATCCATAAAAAGAAAATCAAAATGAAAAGGTGTCGTAATTATCAGACTGAGATTTTAAAGTAATTATTATTAATATGTCTAAGAAAACCTTGGTTATAAAGATTGAAGAGATGGGAAACTTCAGCATAGAAATGAAATACATAAGAAAGATTAATGTAACCACCCAACAGGTTCACCTTGCCCATTGCCTAGACAGAGCCAATTTATCAAGACAGGGGAATTGTAATGGAGAAGTGTAATTCTCACAGAGCCAGCTGTGTGGAAGACTGAAGTTTTATTATTACTCAAATCAGTCTGCCCAAGCATTCTAGAATGGAGTTTTTAAGGAGAATTTGGAGGTTGGCGGCTCTGGAAGTGGGGAGTGCTGATTGGTAGGGTTGGAGATGGAATCATAGGGGATGTAAGTGAGTTTTTTGTTTGTTTGTTTGTTTGTTTGCTGTCTTCTGTTCCTGGGTGGGATTATAGAACCAGCTGAGCCAGATTACCAGTCTGCATGGTGTCAGCCGGTGCATCAAGTACAGGGTCTGCAAAATATCTCAAGCACTCATCTTAGATGTTACAATAGTGATGTTATTCCCAGGAACAATTTGGGGAAGTTCAGACTCTTGCAGCCAGAGGCTGCATGGTGCTTAAATTATAACTTCTAATCTTGTAGCTAATTTGTTAGTCCTACAAAGGCAAATTGGTCCTGAGGCAAGATTTTTTTGTTTGTTTGTTTGTTTGTTTTTGGAAAGGACTATTATCATCTTTGTTTCAGAGTTAAACTATAAGCTAAATTCCTTCCCAAGTTTAGTTTAGCCTATGCCCAAGAATGAACAAGGACAGCTTAGAGATCAGAAGCCAGATGGAGTCGGTTAGTTCTGATCTCTTTCACTGTCATAATTTCCTCAGTTATAATTTTTGTAAAAGTAATTCCATTTAATGGATATTCTAGAACTTAAAGGTACATTATTTGATTTTTTAAAAAGATTGCATTTAAAAGCAATTAAAGATGGCAAATAAAAAGGTAATAAAACTTGGGCCGGGGGCTGTTGCTCACACCTGTAATCCCAGGACTTTGGGAGGCCGAGGTGGGCGGATCATGAGTTCAAGAGATCGAGAACATCCTTGCCAACATGGTGAAACCCTGTCTCTACTAAAAATACAAAAATTAGCCAGGTGTGGTGGTGTGCACCTGTAGTCCCAGCTACTCGGGAGGCTGAGGCAGGAGAATTGCTTGAACCCAGGAGGCAGAGGTTGCAGTGAGCCAAGATTGTGCCACTGCACTCCAGCCTGGAGACAGAGCAAGACTCCAAATCAAAAAAAAAAAAAAAAAAAAGGTAATAAAACTTGAAGGTAGATTAATAGAAACCATACTGCTCAAAAAAGACAGATAAAGGAAAATAATAATAATGATAATAATATTAATAAAGCCCAATATCATGTGAAACATATCAAGTTGTCTAATGAGTATGTAATTAAGAGTCTCAGAGGTGAGAAAGTAGAGTATGGATCATCAATAGTATTTTAAGAAATAATAGCTAAAAATTACCCAAATTAGGTGAAAAACGTAAATCTAAACATCCGAGAACCTTACCCAAATACAAGCAAGTCAAATGCGAGTGTTAAAAGAAAAACTTCAGCTGAATTAAATTTAAAGATGCTTAACTGAGCAATCAATGATTCACAAATCAGGCAGCCCCCAGAATCACATCAGATTCAGAGACTCCAGCACAGCTACGGGTGCTGAAAAATTTATAGAGAAAAAAAGGAAGTGACATACAGAAATCAGAAGTGAGGTACAGAAACAACCGGATTGGTTACAGCTCAGCGTTTGCTTTATTTGAACACAGTTCGAACACTCGGCAGTATATGAGTGGTTGAAGTACGGCTGCTGGGATTGGCCAATACTCAGCTATTGTTACAGGCACATACTCTTAAGTTCGGTTTTCAATCTTGTCTACCTATTAAGTTAGATTACAGTTCATCCACAAAGTCTCAAATACATAAATACAGGGTTCTTCTCAGGCCATATTCAATTCACTTTAACGCAAGAATAAGCACAACTAGGCACATTTTGAAGTCAACAAATACAAAGAAAACCTTGAAAGTGGAGAGAGACAAATGACAAATTACATATAGTTAAGGAACACTATGAATGGTGGCTGAAAAAAAGTTGAAACCTGTAGACAATAAAATGATATCTTTAAAGTGCTGACTAAAAAATAAAATTGGAATTCTGTATACAGTGAAAATCTTCAAAAACATAGGTGAGTTCATTAGTTTCCTATTCCGGCTGTAACAAATTACCACAAAGTCAATGGCTTGAAACAACATGAAAGGTTTTATCTTAAGTTCTGGAGGTCAAAAGTCTGAAGTGGATGTCACTGGAGTAAACTCAAGGTGTTTGCAGAATCACACTTCTTATGGAGGCTCGGCAGGTGGGGAAGGGATGCCATGGGGGAGAGTTAATTTTCTTGCCTTTTCTGGCTTCTAGGGCTGCCTACATTCTTTGGCTCATGGTCCTCTTAAACACCAGCAGTTGAATCATTCTGACCTCTATTTCTGTCTCACATCTTCTCTATGATTCTATGCATCCCTGTTTCACTTATAAGGACCCTTGTGATTACACTGAGCACACCAGGAAAATTCATAATAACTACTCATTTTAAAATGCTTAATTATATTTACAAAATTCCTTTTCCATGTAAATACCCTTATTCATAGGAATTAGGAGGTGTATTAGCCTGTTTTCATGCTGCTGATAAAGACATACCCAAGACTGGGCCATTTACAAAGGAAAGAGTTTTAATGGAGTACTCACAGTTCCATGTGACTGGGGAAGCCTCACAATCATGGCAGGAGACAAGGAGGAGAAAGTCACATCTTACATGGATGGCAGCAGGCAAAGAGAGAGCTTGTGCAGGGCAACTCTGATTTTTCAAAACCATCAAATCTCATGAGACCCATTCACTATCACAAGAACAGCACAGGAAAGAGCCACCCATCCATACTTCAGTCATCTCCCACTGAGTCCCTCCCACAACATGTGGGAATTATGGGAACTACAAGATGAGATTGGGTGGGGACACAGAGCCAAACAGTATCAGGAGGTGAACATCCTTTGAGGCCCTTCTTCTGCCTATTCTTCCAATCGTGGTGAAATAAATACATTTTTCAGGTAAATAAGAGAGAATTCCTGGACAGTATACCTTCAGTAAAAGAAATGTTAAACAAATTATTCAGCCTGAAAGAAAATTACACCAGATAGAAATTCATATTTGAAGGAGAAATGAAGAACATTAGCAATGGTAAATATTTACTCTATTGGTAAACATAAAAGACTATGTTTTTTCTCTTAATTAATTTTACAGTTAGCCTTTTTGTACCTTATTTAAGGAATCATAGCCTATTCCAAGGTCATGTATTTTCTACAACTTGAATGTTTAAACATTAGGAGTTATATTTGTAATCCATCTAGAATATGTATCTGTGTCTCTATGTAAAGTGTGAAGTAAGCATTTGAATATACTTTTTTGGATATACTAAATTGGATATTCATGTGGAATTGTGGAATTGTGATGTCAACTTAGTCATAAATCACATGACAATTTACATTTTGTATTGTTTCTGGTCACTTAATTTTTCTCTCTCGGTCAGTTTCCCTGTCCTTATGGTAATATAATACTGTCTTAATTAATATACCTTTACTTCTTTACTTATGGTATTTTAGTCTTTTGTTACTGGTACTATAAATCTTCCATATTAGCACTTCTATAGTATTACCTTGATGATTCTTGACTTGTTAAATTTCAGCATAAATTTTTAAATCAGCCATTAAATTTACTAACATTTTTAGAAATTTGGTTAGGATTTTATTGAATCTACAGAATGATGTAGAAAGCTGCCATATTTACAGTTTTGGCTGTAATCCATGCAAATGAGTATCTCTTCAGTTATTGAAGATTTCTTCAATTTTTCTTAATAACAGTTTAAAAATGAGAGTTTTAAACTTCATTTGCTGTACATTTTATCAATTTGTTACTAGACATTTGATATTTTTATAATGTAAATTGTACTACTTTTCATTTTTTAAAATTTTTATATTAAATTCAGGGTACAAGTGCAGGTTTGTTACACAGGTAAACTTGTGTCATGGGGAGTGTTGAACAGATTATTTCATCACCCAGTTATGAAGCCTAGTACCCGCTATTTTTCCTGATTTTCTCCCTCCTCTCAACCTCCACCATCAAAAAGGCTACAATGTGTGCTGTTCCCCTCTGTGTGTCAGTGTGTTTTTATCATTTAGCTCCCACTTATAAGTGAGCACAAGGGGTATTTGGCTTTCTGTTCCTGTGTTAGTTTCCCACGTATAATGGCCTCCAGCTCCATCCGTGTCCCTGCAAAGGACATGATTTCCTTAATTTTTATGGTTGCATATTATTATATGGTGTACATGTACCACATTTTCTCTATTCAGTCTACTATTGATGGGCTTTTAGGTTGATTCTATGTCTTTGCTATTGTGAATAGTGCTATAGTAAACATATGTGTGCATGTGTCTTTATAATGGAATGATTTATATTCCTTTGGGTATATACCAAGTAATGGGGTTGCTGGGATGAATGAGATTTCTGTCTTTAGGTCTTTGAGGAATCACAACACTGTCTTCCACAATGGCTGAACTAATTTACACTCCCACCAATAGTGTACAAGCACTACTTTTTCTCCACACCTCATCAGCATTGGTTATTTTTTACTTTTTAATCATAGTTATTCTGACTGGTGTGAGATGGTATCTCATTGTGGTTTTGATTTGAATTTCTCTCATGACCACAAATGTTGAACTTTTTATCCGTATATTTGTTGGCTGCATGTATGTCTTCTTTTGAAAATTGTCTGTTCATGTCCTTTGCCTACTTTTTTTATGGGATTTTTTTGGCACATTTGTTTAAGTTTCTTATAGGTGCTGGATGTTAGAGCTTTGTTGAATGCATAGTTTGTAGGTTGTCCATTTACTCTGTTGATAGTTTCTTTTGCTGTGCAGAAACTCTTTAGGTTTAGATCCCATTTATCAATTTTTGCTTTTGTTACAATTGCTTTTTGCAATTTCATTATGAAATCCTTGCCCGTGTCTGTGTCCTATATGGTATTGTCTAGGATATCTCCCAGGGTTTTTATAGTTTTGGGCTTTACATTTAAGTCTTTAATCCATTGTGAGTTAATTTTCATATGGTGTAAGAAAGGGGTTCAGTTTTAATCTTCAGCATATGGTTAGCCAGTTATCTCAGCACCATTTATTGAATAGGGAATCCTTTCCCCATTGCTTGTTTTGGTCAGGTTTGTCGAAGATCAGTCAGTGGTAGGTGTGCAGTCTTATTTCTGGGTTCTCTATACTGTTCTATTGGTCTGTGTCTGTTTTTGTACCAGTACTATCATGCTGCTTTGGTTACTGTAGCCCTGTACTAGTGTTTGAAGTTGTGTAGCGTGATGCCTCCAGCTTTCTTCTTTTTACTTAGGATTGTCTTGGCTATTGGGGTTCATTCTTGGTTCCATATGAATTTTAAAATAAGTTTCTCTAATTCTGTGAAGAATGTCAATGTTAGTTTAATAGGAATAACATTGAATCTATAAATTGCTTTGGGCAGTGTGATGTTGATACTGAGTGTCAACTTGACTGGATTGAGGGATACAAAGTATTAATCTTGGGTGAGTCTGTGTGGGTGTTGCCAAAAGAGATTAACATTTGAGTCACTGGGCTGGGGAAGGCAGTTTCACCCTTAATCTGTTGGGCACAATCTAATTAGCTTCCAGTGAACATAAAGCAGGCAAAAAACATGAAAAGGAGAGCTTCCCAGCCTACATCTTTCTCCCATGCTGGATGCTTTCTGCCCTTGAACATCAGACTCCAAGTTCTCAAGTTCTTCAGTTTTGGGACTCGGACTATCTCTCCTCGCTCCTCAGCTTGCACAGCCTATTCTGGGACCTCATGATTATGGAAGTTAATAATAAGCTCACGTTTATATATATATATATATATTTCTGTCCCTCTAAGAGAACCCTTACTAATACAGATTTTGGTACCAGGAGTGGTTCTAGAGGAACAGAATATTAAGGATGGAGTTCTTTCATTGGTTTTGGGGTTTCTGGAGTTGGCTGCTTAATATGATTAGACCCCAAAATTCTAAGAACTCTATTTCTAGTAGTATGGGGAAGATTGATAGTCTTCGATGTGAACTGTTTAGAGAGTTATGCAAAATAAATGCATTTAACACTCCTGATTCACTGCTCATGAAAGGCAAGGAGTTTAGTGACTCTATAGATAATACCTTTGACCACATATGGAGAACCAAGGAACATAATGAAGCTGGTTGGTTGCTTCTGAGTTTAATAGGCAAAGTGATGAAAGAAAATGATGAACTCGGGGATTCTGTCTCCCAGCTTCAGAAGCAGATATTGAGCCTCAAATCAGCCAAGATTGTCCTGAGTGAGAGTCTTACTTCCTGTAGAGAAAGAGCTGAAATTGTGGAAAAATAGACACAAGATTTTATCATATGAGTGGCTGACCTGCAGTGAAAGGTGCATGCACAGCCTTGCCAGGTGTCTACTGTTAAAGTGAGGGCATTAACTGGAAAAAGATGGGACCCTGAAACTTGGAATGGGGATGTGTGGGAGGACCATGATGAAGCTGGGGACACTGAGTTTGTAAACTCTAATGAACCTTTTTTTTTTTTTTGCCAGAAGGAACAGCCTCCCTATCCCCACTAGTGGCACCATCCCCTCCCTGACCCATGCTGCCATCAGCCTTTCCACCATTGTCTGAGGAGATAAATCCTTGCTGCCTGAGGCAACAGTGATTGCCTCCCCTGAGGCAGTCGCCAGACAAAATAATGTTGATTCTCCTCAGGAGCCACCCCCCAACACCCTAGTTTGCTTCTAGACCTATAACTAGACTAAAATCCTTGCGGACCCCTGGAGGTGAGGTTGAGAGTATGACCCATGCAGAGATGTGCTACATTCAAAAAGAACTGATTGAGTTCTCTAATTTATAAAAGCACAATCTGGAGAACAGTCATGGGAATGGATATTAAGGGTGTGGAATAATGGTGGAAGAAACATAGAGTTGGATCAGGCTGAATTTATTGATTTGGGCCTACTAAGTAGAGACTCTGCTTTTAATTTTGAAGCTCAGGGAGTTAAAAATGTTCTAATAGTTTATTTGCTTGGTTAGTTGTAATATGGATCAAAAGATGTCCCACTGTGAGCAAGCTGGAAATGCCTGATCTCCCTTGGTTTAATGTAGAGGAAGGGATCCAAAGGCTTGGGGAGATTGGGGTGGTGGAGTGGATTAGTCACTTTAGACCTACACATCCAAGCTGGGAGGGTCCAGCAAATATACCCTTGACCAATGCCTTGAAAAGTAGATTTGTGAGGGCTGCACCTGCATCTTTTAAGGGCCCTCTAATTGCTCTTCTCTGTATGTCAGAGGTAACGGTGGGAACCACAGTCACTCAACTACAAAATTTAAATACAATGGGAATAATTGGATCCTGAGGTGGCAGGGGCCAAGTGGCAGCACTCAACCATCAAAGGCAAGGTGGGTATAGCTACCGTAATGGACAGCAGAGGCAAAGAGGCAATCAGAATAGTATGATTCATGTAGAGCTCTGGCATTTGCTAATTAATCATGGTGTTCCTAGAAGTGAAATTGATAGGAAGCCTACTTCATTCCTACTTAAATTATACAAACAGAAAACTTCTAGGTCTAATGGACAAAATACTAATTTGAATTATAAAAACAGAGAATCATGGTCCCTCAACCAATTTTCAGACTTGAGCCAGTTTATAGGCTCACACCCCTTGAATGAAGGGGGGGCCAGCTCCCCTTGAGGAAGGATCCCACTACGTTACCAACAATTTATGCAGTGAATATTTCTCCCATCTTTCCCCAAGGATACCTCTGGCCTTTTACCAGGGTAACTGTGCAATGTGGAAAGAAAAATGATCAGACATTTCAGGGACTACTGGACACTGGCTCTGAGCTGACGTTGATTCCAGAGGACCCAAAACGTCATTGTGGTCCTCCAGTTAAAGTAGGGGCTTATGGAGGTCAGGTAATTAATAAAGTTTTAGCTCAGGTCTGACTTACAGTGGGTCCCCAGATTCATCCTTTGGCCATTTCCCCAGTGCCAGAATGCATAATTGGCATAGACATACTGAGCAGCTGACAGAACCCCATTGGCTCCCTGATTGATTGATAGGATGATGGCTATTATGGTGGGAAAGGCCAAATGGAAGCCATTAGAGCTGCCTTGACCTAGAAAAATAGTAAATAAAAAACAATATCACATTTCTGGAGGGATTGCAGAGATTAGTGCCACCATCAAGGACTTGAAAGATGCAGGAGTGGTGATTCCCACCACATCCCTATTCAACTCTCCCATTTGGCCAGTGCAGAAGACAGACAGATCTTGGAGAAAGACAGTGGATTATTGTAAGCTTAACCAAGTGGTGGCTCCAATTGTCGCTGCTGTACCAGATGTGGTTTCATTGCTTGAGCAAATTAACACATCTCCTGGTACCTGGTATGCAGCCATTGACTTGACAAATGCCTTTTTCTCCATTCCTGTCCATAAGGCCCATCAGAAGCAATTTGCCTTCAGCTGGCAAGGCCAGCAATATACTTTTACTGTCCTACCTCAGAGGTATATCAACTCTGACTTTTTGTCATAATTTTATTCAAGGAGACCTTGATTACTTTTCTTCCACAAGATATCACACTGGCCCCTTACATTGATGACATTATGCTGATTGGAGCCAGTGAGCAAGAAGTAGCAAACACAATGGTCTTATTGGTGAGACATTTGCATGCCAGAGGATGGGATATAAATCCGAGTAAAATTCAGGGACCTTCTGCTTCAGTAAAATTTCTAGGGGTCCAGTGGTGTAGGGCCTGTAACAAAATTCCTTCTAATGTGAAGGATAAGTTGCTGCATTTGGACCCTCCTACAACCAAGAAAGAGCCACAATGCCTAGTGGACCTATTTGGATTTTGGAGGCAATAAATTCCTCATGTGGGTGTGTTACTCCAACCCCGTTTATTGAGTGGCCCAAAAGGCTGCCAGTTTTGAGTGGGGTCCAGAACAGGAGAAGACTCTGCAACAGGTCCAGGCTGCTGTGCAAGTGGCTCTGCCACTTGGGTCATATGACCCAACAGATCCAATGGTGCTTGAGGTGTCAGTCACAGATAGGGATGCTGTTTGGAGCCTTTGGTGAGCCCACATAGGTGAATCACAGCAGAAGCCTCTAGGATTTTGGAGCCCTGCCATCTTCTGCAGATAAATATTCTCCTTTTGAAAGACAGTTCTTGGCCAATTACTGGTCTTTGTTGGAAACTGAACATTTGATTATGGGTCATCAGGTCGCCATGTGACCTGAACTGCCTATCATGAACTGGGTGTTTTCTGATGAATAGCCATAAAGTGGGTCATGAACAGCAGCATTCCATCATCAAAATAAAGTCGTATATATGTCATCAGACTCGAGCAGGTCCTGAAGACACAAGTATGTTACCTGAGGAAGTGTCTCAAATGTCCATGGTCTCCACTCCTGCCACCTGCCTTCTTTCCCCTAGTCTGCACTGATAGCCTCATAGGGAGTTCCCTATGAAGAGTTGACAGAGGAAGAAAAGGCTAGGGCCTGGTTCACAAATGGTTCTGAAAGATATGCAAGCACCACCCAAAAGTGGACAGCTGCAGAACTACAGCCCCTTTCTAGGACATCCCTGAAGGACAGCAGTGAAGGGGAATCTTTTCAGTGGGCAGAACTTCAAGCAGTGCATCTAGTTGTGCACTTTGCATGGAAAGAGAAATGGCCAGATGTGTGGTTATGTGCTGATTCATGGGCTGTAGCCAATGGTTTGGCTAGATGGTCAGGGACTTGTAAGAAGCATGATTGGAAAATGGTGACAAATAAACTTGGAGAAGAGTTATGTGGATGGACCTTTCTGAGTGGTCAAAAACTGTGAAGATATTTGTATCCCATGTGAGTGCTCACCAATGGGTGACCTTAGCAGAAGAGGAGTTTAATAATCAAGTGGATAGAATGACCGATTCTGTGGACACCACTCAGCCTCTTTCCCCAGCCACCCCTGTCATTGCCCAATAGGCACATGAACAAAGTGGCATGGTGGCAGGGATGGAGGTTACACATAAGCTCAGCAACATGGGCTTCCACTCACCAGGGTAACCTGGCTATGGCCACTGCTGAGTGCCCAATTTGTCAGCAGCAGAAACCAACACTGAGCCCTCGATATGGCACGATTCCCCAGAATGATCAGCCAGCTACCTGGTGGCAAGTTGATTATATTGGATCTCTTCCATCATGGAAAGGGTAGAGGTTTGTCCTCACTGGAATAGACACTTACTCAGGATATGGTTTTGCCTATCCTGCACGCAATGCTTCTGCAAAGACTACCATCAGTGGACTCACAGAATGCCTTATCCACCATCATGATATTCCACACAGCATTGCCTCTGACCAAGGCACTCCCTTTATGGCTAAAGAAGTGTGGCAATGGGCTCATGCTCATGGAATTCACTGGTCTTACCATGATCCCCATCTTCCTGAAGCAGCTGGATTTATAGAATGATGGAATGACCTTTAGAAGTCACAATTACAACACCAACTAGGTGACAATACTTTGCAGGGCTAGGACAAAGTTATCCAGAAGGCCATGTATGTTCTGAATCAGTGTCCAATATATGGTACCATTTCTCCCATAGCCAGGATTCATGAGTCCAGGAATCAAGGGGTGGAAGTGGAAGTGGCACCACTTACCATCACCCCTACTGATCAACTAGCAAAATTTTTGCTTCCTGTTCCTGCAACATTAGTCACGGCCTAGAGGAATTAGTACCAGAGAGGGGAGTGCTGCCACCAGGAGACACAACAATGATTCCATTAAACTGGAAGTTAAGATTGCCACCTGGAAACTTTGGGCTCCTATCTTTAAGTCAACAGGCTAAGAAGACAGTTACAGTGTTGGCTGGGGTGATTGACCAGGACTATCAAGATGAAATCAGTCTACTACCCCACAACAGAGGTAAGGGAAAGTATGCATGGAATACAGGAGATCCATTAGTGCATCTCTTAATATTACCATGCTCTGTGATTAAGGTCAACGGGAAACTACAACAGCCCAATCCAGGCAGGACTACAAATAATCCAGACCCTTCAGGAAGGAAGGTTTGGGTCACTCCACCAGGAAAAAAACCATGATCTGCTGAGGTGCTTGATGAAGGAAAAGGGAATTCAGAATGGGCAGTAGAAGAAGGTAGTCATCAATACCAGCTAACACCACGTGGCCAGCTGCAGAAAAGAGGACTGTAACTGTCATGGGTATTTCCTCCTTCATTTGTTAAAAACACGTTTTTGCCTGTATACACTTGTACTAAGAAAATATCTTCATTTTATTTCCTTTTTCCTTTATCATGTGACATAAGATTTATTGACTTCATATCAGCATTTAAGTATTGTTAACTTTATGTAATAGTATTTGGGTTGGGGATTGGTGCATTTCAGGTTGTATGAGGGACAGTTGTATCATGTTAGGCATAACTATGACCTCATTATTGTCTTTATTTGAAGATTACATATGATCTAAGGAGATGTGTATGGGTTCAAGTTGACAAGGGATGGACTTGTGATGGTTAATACTGAGTGTCAACTTAATTGGATTGACACATACAAACTATTGTTCCTGGGTGTGGCTATGTAGGTGTTGCCAAAAGAGATTAATATTTGAGTCAGTGGGCTGGGGAAGGGAGATCAACCCTTAATCTGGTGGGCACAATCTAATCGGCTTCCAGTAAAAGCAGGCAGAAAACGTGAAAAGGAGAGACAGGCCTAGCCTCCCAGCCTGTATCTTTCTCCTGTGCTGGATGCTTCCTGCCCTCGAACATCGGACTTCAAGTACTTCAGTTTTGTGACTCGTACTGGCTCTCCTTGCTCCTCAGCTTGCAGATAGCCTACTGTGGGACCTTGTGATCATGGACGTTAATACTTAATAAACTCGCCCTTATATATATAAAAATAAAATAGGATATATATATGTGATATATAAAAAATAGGATATAAAAATAAGATATATAAAAAATAGGATATATTATATACATAAAGTAGGACATATATACAAATAGGATATATATATAATTATAAAATTATTTTAATGTGTATTTCACCTCTTTCAGGTCAGTTACATTCTTCTCTATACTGGTTTTTTTTTTTCTATCAGCTCCTGCAATGGTTTATCATGATTTTTAGCTTCCTTGCATTGGGTTACAATGTACTCCTTTAGCTCAGCATACTTTGTTTCTATCCATATTATGAATTCTACTTCTGTCATTTCAGCCATCTCAGCTTTAACCTGGTTTCAAACCCTTGCTGCAGAGGTGACACAGTCATTTGGAGGGAGAAGGCACTCTGTTTTCTTTCGATCTTTCAGCATTCTTGTGCCGATTATTTCTCATCTTTGTGGACTTACCTGCCTTCAATCTTTGAGGCTTCTGACTTTTGGATTTTTTTTTTCTTCTAACTGTCTGGCCACTTTTCCATGAGGACCCTGTAGTATGCTGGGGGTTCACTGCAGTCCCTAGTCACCTTGCATTTTTCAGTACCTGGAGGTATCATCAGTGAGGGCTGCTAAATAGCAAAGATGGCATCCTGCCCCTTCCTCTGGGAGCTCTGTCCTAGGGAGGTACAGACCTGTTGCCAGCCTAAATGCACCTGAAGGAGGTGGCTGGATACTCTGATTGTGAGGTCTCACCCAGGCAGGAGAAAGGAGATTGGGGACCCACTTAAAAAGTAGTCTGGCCATATTGTTTTAGAGCAGCTGTGCTGTGCTGTGGGTCTACTTCAGTCCCTGGTTGCCTTGGACCCTCCAAAGACAAAAAGCTGGAATAGCTAAGTCATTCAAACAGCAATGATGATGGCTTGCCTCTCCACCTGGGACCTCTGTACCAGGGAGGCCTGAAACCTCTAGAAAACATCAATGGGGTAGCTGAAAACTCTGGTTGGGAGGCTCCACCTGGTGATGAGGAACAGGGTTGCAGACCCACTTAAAAAAGCAGACTGGCCATTATTTTGTGGGGCTGCTGTGCTGTGCTGTGGTAACATTCCTGCCCCGGTTGGCTTGGACTCTCCAAAGCCCAAAGGCTGGAACTGCTAAGTCACCCAAGCAGCAAAGATGGCAGCCTGACCCTTCATCTGGCAGTTCTGTCCTACCTTTGGGCATTTTCAAATCTCTGTTGGCCAGAGCATACCCATGAGGGTGGCTGAAGGGGGGCAGTCCCTCCTAGGGAGGAGGAATGGGATTGGTGATCCTTTTAAAGATGCAGTCTGGCCACACTTTCATAGAGCAGCTGTTTTGTGCTGGGATACTGCTTCTGCCCAAGTTGTCTTGGGCCTTCAAGAGCCCACTGGCTAGATCAGCTAACTCATCCATACAGCAAAGATGACTGCCTGCTCGTCCCTCTGGGAGGTCTGTCCCAGGGAGTTTTCAAATCTCAGTTGGCCACAGAACACTGGTGGGGTAGCTGGAGGCCCCAGTTGTGAAGTCCCACCCCGTCAGGAGGAATGGATTGGGGACCCTATTAAAGAAGCCTTCTGACCACGTTTTAGTAGAGCAGCTATGCTATGCTGGGGAATCCCCCTTCTGCCCCTGGTTAGTGGCTTTCCAAAGCCCACATGCTGGAACAGCTAAGCTGCCCAAACAGCAAAGATAGCAGTCTGCCTTTCCCCCTGGAGCTTTGTCCCAGGTATGCTCAACACTGTTACCAGTTGCTGGCTGGAATTTCAAACCAGTGGGTCTTATCCTGTGAGACGTTGTGGAAGTGGGTCCAACAGACCATCACTGCTCAGTCCCTGGATTCAGCTTCTTTCCTAGGGGAAATGTATTAGTTCATTCTTATGCTGCTAAGAAAGACATACCCAAGACTAAATAATTTACAAAATAAGAGAAGTTTAATTGACTCACAGTTCAGATTGGCAGGGGAGGCCTCAGGAATCACGGTGGAAGTAGAGCAATCATGTCATTCTTCACATGGTGTCAGGAAGGAGAAGAATTGAGTGCCCAAAGGGGGAAGCCCCTTGTAAAACCAATAGATCTCATGAGAACTAACTATCACAAGAACAGGATGAGGGAAACAGACCCCATGATTCAATAATCTCCAGCTTGTCCCTCCCGTGACACATGGGGGTTATAGGAACTACAATTCAAGGTGAGATTTGGGTGGGGATACAACCAAACCATATCATTCCACTGTTGGCCTCTCCCAAGTCTCATTTTCTCACAATTCAAAACACAATAATACCCTCCCAACAGTCCCCGAAATTCTTAACTCATTCTAGCAATAACTCAAAGGTCCAAGTCCAAAGTCTCATCTGAGACAAGGCAAGTCCCTTCCACTTGTGAGCCTGTAACATCAAAAGCAAGTTACTTACTTCCTAGATACAATGGAAGTAAAGGCATTGGGTAAATATACCCATTCCAAATGGGAGAAATTGGCCAAAACAAAGGGGCTACAGGCCCTATGCATGTCCAAAATCCAATAGGGCAGTCATTACACCTTAAAGTTCCAAAATGATCTCCTTTGACTCCATGTCTCATATCCAGGTCATGCTGATGCAAGAGGTGGACTCCCATGGCCTTGTGCAGCTCCACCTCTGTGGCTTTGCAGGTACAGTCCCCGTCCTGGCTGCTTTAATGGGCTGGCATATAGTGTCTGCAGCTTTTCCACCACACGGTGCAAGCTGTCAGTGGATCTACCATTCTGGGGTCTGAAGGACAGTGGCCCTCTTCTCACAGCTCCACTAGGCAGTGCCCCAGTGGAGACTCTGTATGGGGGCTCCAACTTCACATTTCCCTTCTGCACTGCCCTAGCAGAGGTTCAGCATGAGGGCTTCACCACAGCAGCAGACTTCTGCATGGACATCCAGGTATTTGCATGCATCCTCTTAAATCTAGGTGGAGGTTCCCAAACCTCAATGCTTAACTTCTGTGAACCTGCATGCCCAACACCACTTGTAAGCTGCCAAGGCTTGGGTGTGCACCCTCTGGAGCAATGGCCTGAGCTGTAGCTTGACCCCTTTTAGCTATGGCTAGAGCTGAAGCAACTGGGATGCAGGGCACCATGTCCTGAAGCTGAACACAGCAGAGGGTCCCTGGGCCCAGCCCAGAAACCATTTCTTCCTCCTAGGCCTCTGGGTCTGTGATGGGAGAGGCTGCTGTGAAGGTCTCTGACTTGGCCTGGAGACATTTTCCCCATTGTTTTGGTGACTAACATTTGTCTCCTCATTATTTATGCAAATTTCTGCAGCAGGCTTGAATTTCTCCCCAGAACATGGGGTTTTCTTTTCTAACATCAGGCTGCAAATTTTCAAAACTTTTACGCTCTGCTTCCTCTGGAACAATTTGCTGCTTAGAAATTTCTTCTGCCAGATACCCTAAATCAAAAGTTCCACAGATCTCTAGGGCAGGGGCAAAATGCTGCCAGTATCTTTGCATAACAAGAGTTACCTTTATTTTCGTTTCGAACAAGTTTCTCATCTCCATCTGAGACCACCTCAGCCTGGACTTCATTGCCCATCTCACTATCAGTATTTTGGTCAAAGCCATTCAACAAGTCTCTAGGAAGTTCCAAACTTTCCCACATTTTCATGTCTTCTTTTGAGCCCTCAAAACTGTTTCAACTTCTGCCTGTTACCCAGTTCCAAAGTTGCTTCCACATATTCTGGTTTCCTTATAGCAGCATCCCACTCTCTACAGTACCAATTGACTGTATTAGTCTATTTTCATGCTGCTAATGAAGACATACGCAAGACTGGGTAATTTATAAAGGAAAGACATTTAATTGACTCACAGTTCAGCATGACTGTGGAGGCCTCAGGAAACTTACAATCATGGCAGAAGGGTAAGCAAATAAATCCTTCTTCATATGGTGGCAGGAAGAAGGAGTCCCCGGCGAAGGGGGAAGCCTCTTGTAAAACCATGAGATCTCATGAGAACTAACTCACTATCACAAGAATAGAATGGGGAAACCGCCCCCCTGATTCAATTATGTCCACCTGGTACCTGCCGTGACATGTGGGGATTATGGAAACTACAATTCAAAATGAGATTTGGATGAGGACACAGCCAAACCATATCAGGGTATGTACGGGGATCTAGCCTCCCATTTTGCTGGAGTTGCAGTTACTTTGCTGGGAGTCCCCAAAATCCAGAGTACTTTAAATTTTTATCATATTTGATTTTGACATATAGAAATACAATTTATTTTTATATTAGACTTACATTCAACTATTGTTCTAAATTTACTATTAATTTGAGTAGTTTGCAGATTCTTTTGAATTTTCTAAGTATACCATTATGTTTCTGCAAATAATGACAGTTTCATTCTTTCTTTTAATTTTTTATGCACTTTAATTCTGTTTACTTAGTTCATTGCACTTGCATCAATATTTTATTGATGAGTATGCTATTTACAGTAGAGTTTTAAAATAATATTTGTTATTAGATTAAGAAAGCTCTAATTCCTATTTTGTTTAGAGTTTTTATCTTACAGGGGTTTTAAATCTGCATCTATTGGGATAATCACATGATTTTTCTTTATTTCTATACTAATATCATGAGTAAAATTGATTGATTTTCAAATGTATAATAGTGATAATTCTCCTGTACTTGTGGAATACACACACGTGCATATCACTTGTTTTCTTTTATTGATATTTTGTTTAGAATAATTGAATCTATATATCAGAGAGGACCTATAATATAATTTGCTTTCAGTATAATGTCCTTTCAATGTTTTAAAATCAATATTACAATGATTTCTCTTTTTCTATTCTCTGAGTTTGTACAAATCTGGTCTTATTTCTACTTCAAATATTTGGAAGAATTAACTTTAAGACAGTTATTCACCATTTATTGAATAAGGAAGTCTTTTCTCCATTGCTTTTTTTGGTTTACTTTGTCAAAGTTCAGGTGGTTGTAGGTGTGCAACATTATTTGTGGGCTCTCTATTCTGTTCCATTGGTCTCTGTGTCTGTTTATGTACCAGTACCATATTGTTTTGGTTACTATGGCCTTGTATTATAGCATAGCTTGAAGTTGGGTAATATGATGCTTCCAGCTTTGTTCTTTTTGCTTAGGACTGCCTTGGCTATTGGAGCTCTTTTTTGGTTTCATTTGAATTTTAAAATTGTTTTCTCTAATTCTGTGAAAAATGTCATTGGTAGTTTGATAGGAATACCATTGAATCTATAAATTGCTTTGGGCGGTATGGCCGGCAGTATGGCCATTGGTTCCTGATTTTGTGTGTGCGTGTGTGTGTGTGAGAGAGAGAGGGAGAGAGAGAGAGAGACAGAGAGACAGAGAGTCAGAGAGAGACAGAGAGAGATTGAGAGGTAGAGAGAATAAAAGAGGAAAAGTTTTTAATAACATTAAATATTTTAGCAGATCTATCACTATTTGTATTTACTACCTTTTCTCCCTTCAGTTATTGTAAGAGGAATTTTTTTTCAGAAGTTTTTCCATTTCATACAAATTGTGGAATTGATTTGCATGAAGCAGTAGATAATACCTACTAGTCAATATAATGATGTGTATAATCTTATTGATTTTTTTCATTTCTGAGATGAATAATTTGTGATTTTCTCCTTATTCATAATTAGTTTTTACAGGTATTTCAATTGTATTAACTTTTCAAAGAACTCTATTTTATATTTATTTTTTGTTCCTTTATTACAGGCCTAATGTGGAAACTCAATTTATTTGTGGAAAACTGAGTTTATGACTTTATTTCACCATCATTTTTTGAAGTTCGTTTTGAGTTTTGAATTCTGAGTTAGCAGTTACTTTTTATTTCACCATTCTGAATATTTTGCCCCATTGACATCAGAGCACCATGACTTCTGAGAAGTCAGAGTTCAATTTCTCTCCA
This sequence comes from Homo sapiens, assembly GCF_000001405.40. NCBI lineage: Eukaryota > Metazoa > Chordata > Mammalia > Primates > Hominidae > Homo > Homo sapiens. Next base: position 92,227,560 of record NC_000005.10, read on the forward strand.
TCTTTTCTACCCTTTCAATGGTAAATGTGTCTATTCCCTGGGTGTTTTTTGAGATTCTTTCTTTTGTCTTCAGTTTTCAGCAGTTAAACTATAATATGTGTAATTATAGTCTTTTTATTTATTTTGCTGGTGGTTGCTAAGTTTCTTGAATATGTAGGTTGGTATCTACGATCAGTTTGTGGAAATTTCTCTATTATTTTGTCAATGTTACTTCTGCCCATTACTTCTCCTTTCCCTCTCTTATTTTCTTCTTGGTTGCTTTCTCTTAATCTCTTTTCAAGTTCACTAATCTTTTGTTCATCTGTATCCAGTTTGATGTTCAACCAATGAGTTCTTAATATAGATATTTTTAATCCTATATTATTTTATTATTCTTTGTAGACTTTTATTTTCCATTTATTCTATTGTTTCTATGTTGTCCATCTTTTTTTACATTTTGTTTAACATGTTATTGATAGCTATTTCAGCCTTTTTCTGCTACTTTATAAATATCAATAATCTAATGGGTCTATTTCTATTTTCTCTTTGTTTTTCTTTTTCATTTAAATAATACTCAAAGCTTCTTTACTTTTTACCTTCATAGTAATGTTTAGATGTATGCTAGAACTTGTATGTAAATTAACATGGGCTTCAGATGCTATATCATCTTCCACCTGAGAGTTTTCTTTTCTTCTCTCTTAGGTAGCTAGGATGAGGCACAGATCACCACAACCTAGTTAGTAACTGAGGCAGTAAAGGATATTTTGCAGTTTTAATAAAACTAGGTCTTTCTGTGTTTAGTTCTTAATTCTAAAATGTGAGCCTTGAAGCTTTCAAGACCCACTCAGTCTCATGGGTGGTTTCTCCTCAGGCCTAAAAATATTGGAGGTTGAGCTCTGTTCTCTAGACTTGCCAGAATAGTCCTCCAGCCTCAAACTCTCCAAAACTTCAAACTCTGGCAAATATCTTGAGAGTGAAACTGACCCTGTGCTTGAAACTTTCATTGTAACTGTGGGAGATTTACTCATTTTAGAAGTGTTTCTTGTCCTAGCTCTCCAGCATATTGTATTGGCCCCCAGATTCCAGGTTGCTACTCCAGCTTCATGCAGCTATGGCTTTGTTGGTTTTTCTTTCCCCTAGTGGAGACTTACAGCTGTACTAATCATAATCTTAAACTCAAGCCCACAAGTACCAAACGCCTTTAGGAAAAAGAAATGGCTCTGGAAGTCTGCTTGCCATTAAAGGCTTTTTACTCTCTGGAATTTCACTCATCAAGTTCTTGCTACAATCATATCTTTCCGATCTTTTTAAAATATTATGTTATAATTTAATTGGATATTCTTAGTTTTGCAGTGGGAGCATTGTCCTGACATGACCTACTATACTACAACCAAGAGCAGAGATTAAAGTAATTTTGTCTATTGAGTCTAAATAAATGCCCTTTCTCCATTTATACAGATAAAGAGGTGTACTTCCTGAGGAACTTTAAATCAGGGGTATATTGGCAAATGTTTAACTAACTCTCTAACAGTAGGGAGGAAATGATGATTTATAAGTTCGTTCATTTTCGTGGTATAAATCCTCCCACCATGGCCAATTTCAAGCTACTCATGTGACATCACCAAATGCAGAGTTGGAAAGAGATGCATAGTCTTGCTTAAAATCAAGGTCTAGGGTTTCATTATGTTCAAATGATTTCCTGAAACAACTAAGGGGTGAAAACATAATTTTCCCTTGTATTATTTTGGAATTTAATCCTGTTGATCTCTCAATAAAAAAAAATTGTTTCAAAGAGGTCAAGGTTTGGACTTATGTGAAGTCAACATTTGAAAACATTTGTAAATATTCTGTCAATCATTAGTATATGCTCTTTTTAGGTATTACTTCTCATAATTATCATAATTATCTTAATAATTTATTGATTATTTATAAGTAAGATGGTTATACCAAAAACCACTAAAGGGAGTTTGTATACATGAAAATATTTATGACATCTCAGACATTTTACACTTGAACTATTATAAATAACAATTACAGAGGCGTATCAAAAAGGCTTTTAATTGAAGAGTATTTACAATTAAATTATAACAGAAAGAATACTGTAAAAGTAAACAAGTAAGTTCTTTTTGAAAAACAGGAATGTGTAACATTCAAAAAGACCACAAAAATTAATTTCTGTGTTACAGAATATTGAGAAATCCTATTCCTATGGCTCCATGACTGGAGACTAAGACAAAGTGGTTAAAAGAAAATGCAAATAGTCTACATTTTAACAGATAAGAAAATAATTTGTACATAGGTAGCCTATCTGGGGCTTTTTGGTAGTGTGTGCCACTGTCCTTGGCTCTCTTCACCCGCTTCTCCCTCCTGAAATGTCCTTAGCAAGGCAGTGTCCCCAAGTGAGCAGTGAAATAAACTGTTTCCATTTTGAAATGGAAAAGAAAAAAGAAGAAAAGAAAGGTGTTGTATAATTTACTTCACCACTGGAAGGCCTACAGTACACAATTGGGTAGCCAAAGGCAGATAGATAGAGAAACAATTCCAAGAGCTGGCTCACTGGAAGAAGCCCTACTACAACCAGTAACTATGGCCTAAAAGGTACAGCCTACAACACTCGCATAGGATATCAGAAACTACCCCAGACCCATTGCCACTGCTGAGCTCTGAATTTAGTTCTGCTACACCTACCACCACCAGAGATGATTCCATATGATTAAAAGGACCATACAATCCATCATTCATACCGGGACTCTTGAGAGTGAAAGAAGTTAATAACATTAATAACTACACTGGGACAACAGGTATGAACCAAGGCTGTCCAAGGTAAATCAGGTTATATGGTTATCTTATGATTCTTCTGATGCCGGGGCTAGCATGAGGCATTGGATTGAAGTAACTTTAGTCACATGCCCCATCCTAACTGACAAGACAACTAGGAAAATGAGTATCTGTCATTTTCAGCTTCTGTGGTGACAGGCATTTGTGAGGAAATTCCTCAAAGAAAGGGGGCTACAGATGCCTTTAATAGATAGACAGAAAGAATAACAAATATAAATTTCATTGGCTTGAAAGTCATTTTTATTTTATCAAACCAAGATACTTGAATTAAAATAAATTCATGGCATTAGTTAAAGTAAGAAAAAATCTGAGTGATCATATAAGTTCTCTAATATTTATTCTGCACTGCAGCTACACAGATTCTTCCATTTCTTTCCTAAGATATCTATATAAAGTGATACAGTAGTACATAAATTTTGTCACTATCTATGATGACTTAATTAGCTAACTTTTATGGCATTCTAAATTAACATTATTCAGTTTGATAGTGCTCTTCATATATTAAATACACAATTGTCTTTTCAGGTTGGACACTGAAAGACAAGTTAACTAAATAAATGGAGGTGTAAAAACACATTGAACCTTATTTTATCCTTCAAAACTACCAAATATTCCCATAGATAATTAATTATCTCATTTGATA